>NC_000006.12:161282911-161434426 GCF_000001405.40 Homo sapiens | reverse complement strand
CTTAGGGAAATTCCCCAACAGCCGGCAGGCAGATGCCACCCTCCCTCACCCTGCACCGTAGACGTTAGCCTGGGATAATGGCAGAGGAAAAAAGCACACAGAAAACTTTAAGCAGACACAGAAATAAGTAATCATTTTCCCTATGATCTATGGCAATGTTGAACTCTTCCAAGAGCATACTGGCAAAATCTCTTGAGTAAAATAGCAAGTGAATAGAATGCTTACTATTGGAATGGTATGGAGTGGTGGTCTTCAAACTGTTTTCCTAATAATATATTCCCCACATACAAAATTTTGAAAACAATGTACCTCCTCACAAGTGTTTAAGTCCATCATAAAATTTTACCCAGGCTTAAGTAGTAGCAAAAAGTGAAACTCCTGGAGTGTTATAAAAACTGACAATTTTTTTTTAATGGAGTTTCGCTCTTGTCACCCAGGCTGGAATGCAATGGCGTGATCTCAACTCACTGCAACCTCTGCCTCCCGGGTTCAGATAATTCTCCTCTCTCAGCCTCCCGAGTAGCTGGGATTACAGACGTGTGCCACCACGCCTGGCTAATTTTTGTATTTTTAGCAGAGATGGGGTTTCATCATGTTGGCCAGGCGGGTCTTGAACTCCTGACCTCAGGTGATCTGCTTGCCTCGGCCTCCCAAAGTGCTGGGATTACAGGTGACAGCCACAGTGCTCAGCCTAATACTGACAAATATTTTATAAAAGAAGAGAGACAGCAATCTTTTAAATGACAGAAATAGAATCTGTACACCAGAGGGTCCACATCATTCATTTTGTAAACACATGAATGGGCTCTTCTTTATCAAAGGGAGTTTATATCGGGCCTCATACTCCTAGTAGTCCATTTCACTTCTCTTATTCTCTAACATGTGTTTATATTTGAAAATATTTTATTGGTCATCCAGTATATATTTCTGTAATGAAAATATGTACAAAGCCTTTAATTTTTAATTTCTAGAATTAAAAACGAGGTTCTGAGGTTAACATTTTTTCCTACTTGAGTTATTAAAATTAATTATTAGTAGTAAACAGTTAATCCAAACAACAAAAATACATTATAAGTTTTGTTGACTACTTGTTAAACAAAAAGTGAAATGGTAATGGGAACATCCAACTTACTGAGATGCCGCGGACGCATACTGCTTACAGCTGGAATCAGACAGCCCTCAATATGAATTTCTTCCATTTTTCATTTTAATTAATGTAAGCACTAAATAACTTTGTTCATATAAATAGGTACATTGCAATGGAAGAAGTCTTTTAGCAGTATCATTCTATTTTTTAAAAGTCATTTGCAGTTATATGCCAAAATCACATGATAGTCTATCATCAAAACATATTTTTATTTTTCAAAATCTTCAGGAACAAAGAATTAGAAGCAAAAGTATTTTTTGCCCTTTGCCATGAAATTATTGGCACGCTGATTTACCTTTTCAGTTTTTTAGAAGTATGCCATAAAGGTTTTATGAGGATCTTACGAATAACTATTAATTGTACCTTTTATTTTGTGCATTTAGAAACCCTTCATTTAATACATTCAGAAAGAGTTGAAAAAATATTAAATATTGTTATTTTCAATACGCCTTTGCCAGTAAAGCATCTCTTGATAAAATATTTTTGTCATGTGCTTTAAATATATTCTTACCCAAATGGAAGTTGCTGAGTCATTTAATTTATAGAAAAGGTAAAATATTTAACAAACTCAGTCTTCACACCAATAGCTAAAATCAGAGGCTAGGTGCAGTGGCTCATGTCTGTAATCCCAGCACTTTGGGAGGCCGAGGTGGGCAGATTGCTGGAGGTCAGGAGTTAGAGACCAGCCTGGCCAACATGGTGAAACCCCATCTCTACTAAAAATACAAAAAAAAAAAAAAAAAAAAATTAGCTGGGCATGGTGATGGCGGGCGCCTGTAATCCCAGCTACTTGGGAGGCTGAGGCAGGAGAATCGCTTGAACCCGGGAGGCAGAGGTTGCAGTGAGCCAAGATGGCGCCATTAAACTCCAGCCTGGATGACAAGAGTGAGACTTCGTCTCAAAAAAAAAAAAAAAAAAAAAAAATCAGAGGAAGTGAATATTGTTAATGTAAAAATATGCTAACATGTGTTCCAAGGAATATTGTTGGGGGTCACTAAAAAGTAGATATCTATCTTGCAAGATGAGTTATGAAAAACAGTCAGGATCAGAATGACATAGAATATTCATTTAACCATTTCACAAAGTTTAACAAACTAAAATAAATCTATCTGTTCTTGTACTTGATTTGTAATAAAGGAATATTATGTGTTGCTGAAATTACAGTTATTTATGAAGCAAGGATAGCCTGGAGTCCTTTGGTGGGTACACATGTGTGCATGCATTAAAATGCACCCCAGTGTTTGGCATCTGTGAATAATTAAGTAAGAGTCATGTAATAAAGAGAAATAACTTTATTCATGATCAAACATTGTCAAGAAAGTGAAAAGCTTAAACGTAGATATAGCTATAGATAGAAAATATTATTGCCGGATGCAGTGGCTCACGCCTGTAATCCCATCACTTTGGGAGGCTAAGGCGGGTGTGGATTGCCTGAGGTCAGGAGTTTGAGACCAGCCTGGCCAATATGGTGAAACCCTGTCTCTACTAAAAATACAAAAATTAGCGGGGTGTGGTGGCAGGCGCCTGTAATCCCAGCTACTCGGGAGGCTGAGCCAGGAGAATCTCTTGAACCCGGGAGGCGGAGGTTGCAGTGAGCCAAGATCGCGCCATTGCACTCCAGCCTGGGCAATGGAGCAAGACTCCATCTCAAAAAAAAAGAAAAAGAAAAAGAAAAGAAAAGAAAGAAAGAAAGAAAAGAAAATATTCTGACTCAGCAGCTAGCAAACAATTTTAATTTGTTGTTAATAAGAGGTGGAAAATATTAAACACTTTATAATATAAAATATGAGTATTGATTGCACTGGGAATAAACATTTTATGATATGATTTAATAAAACAGGTTTTAACTACCTTGTTAAATAATGTGTACCACATCTAAAAGGAACCACATAAAATGTTTATCTGCTGATTTGATCTAGTATTAAATTTAAAAATTTCGTAGTTCCTAAAAACATTTGTTATGTTTGAAAGACTATTTAATTTATAGAAAAAGCCATTTCTTCAGTGGCTCAAGGTTTATTTCTTTCCAGTTAATGATATACTCTACAAATAAGCATTGAGATTAGCTAATCATAATTGCTCACATTAAATACATGGGAAAACGTAGATTTTAGCAGTCAATATTTCTTTTTTTTTTTTTTGAGACAGAGTCTCGCTCTGTTGCCCAGGCTGAAGTGCAGTGGAGTGATCTCGACTCGTTTCAACCTCCGCCCCCCAGGTTCAAGCAATTCTCCTGTCTCAACCTCCTGAGTAGCTGGGCTTACAGGCATGCACCACTGTGCCGTGCTAATTTTTTTTGTAGTTTTAGTAGAGACAGGGTTTCACCACGTTGGCCAGGCTGGTCTCGAACTTCTGACCTCAGGTGATCCGCCTGCCTTGACCTCCCAAAGTGCTGGGATTACAGGCATGAGCCACCGCACCTGGCCAGCATTCAGTATTTCTTTTTTTTTTTTTTTTTTTTTTTTGAGACGGAGTCTGGCTGTGTTGCCCAGGCTGGAGTGCAGTGGCGCAATCTTGGCTCACTGCAAGCTCCGCCTCCCAGGTTCACGCCATTCTCCTGCCTCAGCCTCCCGAGTAGCTGGGACTACAGGCGCCCGCCACTATGCCGGGCTAATTTTTTGTATTTTTAGTAGAGACAGGGTTTCACTGTGTTAGCCAGGATGGTCTTGATCTCCTGACCTCGTGATCCACCCGCCTCGGCCCCCCAAAGTGCTTGGATTACAGGCGTGAGCCACCACGCCCGGCCCATTCAGTATTTCTTATCCATTCTCTCTGTGTTTGCTCTCACCACATTTTTCCCCAAGAGCAGTGCATTTACTGACAATCCCAAGAGAGAACAGGTTAAGCAATTAAACAGAAGTTGGTGAAAATTGCTATCATTCTGCTGTGGTTTCACTGTTCTCTCCAAAACTCATGTTGAACTTCAATTGTCAGTGTAATAGTGTTAAGAGGTGGGACCTTTAGGCAGTGATTAGGTCCTAAGGACTCTACCCTCATGGATGGATTAATGCCCTGTGTTTCATAACATAGTTACAATAATAATCGTACAGTGAACAGCCTTGGAAGATAGAGATACTGTCTCTTTCCGCAGCAGAGGGGAAGTTTGCTTATAACAAAGACAATGTCTCCCTCTGTTGACAATGGCAGTCCTGCTCACGGCCCATTATAAAAGACTCAGATTCCCTAAAGTCAGGGTCCTCACACCTGTAATGCAACCCATGCCATGTGCAGCTGCCATCTGGTCCATTTCAAACCACCCTGTGAGAACTGGGATTTGAGAAACCAGCACAGGAAAAAAGATATTGCTGTAAATAATGCATGGTCCTTTGTCTCTGACCCAGGAACCTCTGGTCTTCTCCTGGCCTCCGTAAAACTGAGCAGACTAACTTGTTAGCTTGCAAAGAAAGCAAAATCTTGGATCCTTCACAGTTCCTGACAAGAATTAAAATGAAGTCTTCTCTTGGTAGCTACCTGGAGCCATGAATATTTCCAGGTATCCAAGTGGCCATACTCACTTAGGAGTATTCTGAATTACTGAAGAAAAGGCCCATTAATGACTCTGAAACTCACCCTCCTCCCACACACCCTCGGACTGGAACTTCTGGATTCCTCTTTCTTCATTGATCTACTTGTGGCCCAAACCTGAAACCAGCAGCCATCTCCGTGGCCTCCCTGGCCCTCCCGCTTCACATCCAGGTTCTTCTAGTTCCATCTCAGAATGTTTTCTGAGCTCTGGAACTTGCTTCCATTTCCTTCTTCTAGCAACATCCTAGCCATTGCAAGGTCTCAGCTCTGGGGATACCACCCTGCCTCACCACATTCGTGTTATTTCTCCGTCCCTCTTAACCATGGCTCCCCAGGTTGCCTGTTTTCCCACACATAGAGCAATAGCACTTAGGGCACTGCTGTGTTATAATGACCTGTTTACTTGCCCATGACTGACTATAAGCTCCCTGAGGGCAGGAACTTTCTCAATCTTGTTTACCATTGTATTCCACACCTAGCCCAGCACCTAGCATGTCTCAGCACTTGATCAGTATTTGCTGGGTAAATCTATAAATGAATAAATGAGTAAATGAGCAAGAATATATAAATTGTATCTTACATCATATGAAGTGTGATATAGGTGATAGGAGCATTCACTCTGAAGGAAAGGTGAATATCTCAAGGCACAATCAAGGTTAGCAAAGGTGCCATCTGCAGGTGTCCTGTCTAAGAGAAGTTTAGCTTCAGGAACATCTTACGTTATCTCTTGGACATGAGCAAAACTTTCCCCCTTCTTGAACCAGCTGACCTGAGCTGGTCTGCCAGCCTTCCAGTCTTAGGGCAGGAATGTATGCCTGGCCATCAGGAAGAAGGTGGGAGAAACCAGGGACCCCTAGCCATAGGTCAGCACATGATAGAGGCCTGCTTGAAACACTGGCAGGGTGGCCATGTAGGACTTACACAGTCATCTGCCTGCAAAAACATGACTTGAAATACATGAATGCTTGCCCATATATGACAAGATGGAGGTTTTCCAAGGTAGAGGTACTCAGGCAGAAAAATGAAAGAAAAAAAATGTGAATGTGCTTTTTTTGGTTGTGAGCTTTATTATATGTGTGAATTGCTGATTCTTTAGCAAGACAGTAGCAGTTGACAAAGAATCGCCCTTCAGATGTGTGGAAAAACACTCAGAGAACACAGCAAACCGCCAAACAATCAAAGGCAGCCACAATGCCACACACTTAGAGATGCAAGAAGGTGCCACGGCCTTTATGGCTGCTGCCCTGGGCACGGGCATCTGCGATGCCAGCCAGGTTCGAAGATGGACGGAGCAGCCGCCTGTCTCTCCATGAGGCTCGTGTGGACCCTGAAGCTCACAGACTCCGGCGGATGGCAGGCTTCTGTCTGCACTCTCCACCCCAGCAGCCCGTCCTGCCTCCCTCTGCCCCTCTCTGCCAGTCCCAGCAGGAATCTGACACCTTATACCTTCCTCAATATCAGGTAGCAGTCAATGGAAGGAAAAATGCTGGAGTCTTTTGATAAAGGATTGGATTCTTTTAAGCCAGTTATTAATGTATTTCATTCAGAATGTGAGTAGAAGAAAGAAGTTGCCCTATGTTGCCCTGAGATGGAGGCGCACGGCTTTGAGGAAGGCCCCCACAGTGCAAGTGCCAGAAGATGCAGGTGGAAGAGCATCACTCATGCGTGTGAGCTGTGTCCAAATGCCGAGCTCCACGGAGACACACTCAGACTGCAGCGAGCTTCCTTCTGCAACCATGCAAGTGTCACCCTCTGTCGGGACCCTCTGAGCCCATCCCCGCACCAAAGCTTCTCTCCAGTGCTGGAAACCTCTGTTTTCAGGTATATCGACAAGAGTGATTTCAGTCTGGAGTCACGCCTGGAGTCATGACTGATTTGCTTGAGAAGCCAGTGCAAATCGCTGAGCCACAGCATATGGAAATCTGCAGATTGCAAGTGAAACGTGGGATTCATCAAAAGCCTGATTGCGTACTCTTCCATGACACTTGATACATGGGATTATGATGTGACTTTATCTATCTATTTGAATACTTCCAACCTCAGCAAAGGCCTAAATGTAGAACACAGTGGCAGTGAAACAACTCTACCCTCAAGAAATATATACTTTACATCCATGTCACAAAACGTCTTCCAATTGTGTTTCACTTTCACATGTCAGATTTCATGTAATGATTGCTAATTACTAGCAACCCAGACAAGATATAGACTTATGAAATTGCCTCATGAGTTTAGTGATTTTTCAGCAACTGGAAGGAAATAGAAAATCCTTGGGTCAGTTCTACCTGAGTTCTAATCCCAGCTGTGTCTTTTACGAGCTGGTGGGCTTGAGTAAGTTATTCAACTTTTGTGTGCCTCAGTTTCCTCCTCTGAAAAATGTGGATGATAATAGTACCTACCAGTTAGGGTGGCTGTGAGAATTAAAAAAGATGATTCGCATAAAGCACTAGTTTAGGGCCCAATAGTAACATGTAATATCCCAGCATTTTGGGAGGCCAAGGCTTGAGTCCAAGAGTTCAAGACCAGCCTGAGCAACATGGCAAAATCCTGTCTCGTCTAAAAATACAAACAATTAGCTGAGTGTTGTGGTGCATATCAGTAGTCCCAGCTACCAGGGAGGCTGAGGTGGGAGGATTGCTTGAACTGGAGAGGTGGAGGCTGCAGTGAGCTATGATCACGCCACTGCACTCCCACATGGTGGACCAGAGTAAAACCCTGTCTCAAAAATATAAGTAAGTAGGCCAGGAGTAGTGGCTCACGCCTGTAATCCCAGCACTTTGGGAGGCTGAGGTGGGCAGATCACAAGGTCAGGAGATCGAGACCATCCTGGCTAACATGATGAAACCCCATCTCTACTAAAAATACGAAAAAATTAGCCAGGCGTGGTGGCAGGTGCCTGTAGTCCCAGCTACTCGGAAGGCTGAGGCAGGAGAATGGCATGAACCTGGGAGGCAGAGCTTGCAGTGAGCCGAGATTGCGCCACTGCACTCCAGCCTGGGTGACAGAGCGAGACTCTGTCTCAACAAATAAATAAATAAATAACTATATTAGGGTTCTCCAGAGGGACAGAACTAATAGGAGGTGTGTGTGTGTGTGTGTGTGTGTGTGTGTGTAAAGGGGAGTTTATTAAGTAGTATTAACTCACATGATCACAAGGTCCCACAATAGGCCATCTGCAAGCTGAGGAGCTAGGAGAGCCAGTCTGAGTCCCAAGACTGAAGAACTTGGAGTTCGATGTTCAAGGGCCGGAAGCATCCAGCACAGGAGAAAGATGTAGGCTGGGAGGCTAGGCCAGTCTAGTCTTTTCATGTTTTTCTGCCTGCTTTATATTTTAGCTACACTGGCAGCTGATTAGATGGTGTCCACTCAGATTAAGGGTGGGTCTGCCTTCCCCAGCCCACTGACTCAAATGTTAATCTCCTTTGACAACACCCTCACAGACATACCCATGATCAATACTTTGCATCCTTCAGTCCAATCAAGTTGACACTCAGTATTAACCATCACAATAGCATAGAATCATATCCCTGAGGTACTTCAGCACGCCCCTTTGGGTATTCAGGGGCAGTGGGACATCTCATTTTCTCTCTTGCTTTTTACAAATCTCCGTTTTTCTCTCTTCCTCTTTTTGTTTTCCTTTAAATTTGTCACCCCATCACATTTTTTGCTCCTACAACGCTGTACACAGGCACCCCCTTAACCACTTGGGAGGCCATCACTCATCTTTGTTAATTCCCCTGAACATCCAGTGTGGGAACACTCCACTGTCACTCCTGCTCGGTGTTGGAACTGAGGCTGGGTATTAGTCTCTAAAAGGAGGACAGGACAGACCACTGCACTTTTCAGGAATCCTGTGGGCCCAACATGAGCTATTAAAAAAATACCATGTCTTCCAAGGAACAGGGGCACCGTGTGAATATGGGGGGAATTACTGATGTGGCAAGGCGTCTCGTCTATATTATACAACCTACTGTGTTTTACAAAGCACAAAATTTGAGTATTTGGACAAATTCATCTCCTCATAATACTTTACAAACATTTTGACCCAAAAGATACTTAGTTGTAATCTTGACTTCCCCCTGAAGACACCTCTCCAGTGGGTGATGAGGCACCTTTATCATGTCTGACTGGGGAGTAGCCAAGGGGGACTAGTCCTTGATCTGGTGCATCAGAAATGAAAATCTGTGGATTCTGATCTCAAAAGACAAGGACAACTGAGACATTTGAGACCAGCGTTGGACACCAATCGGACCACGGACCTACACCATCTCTCCCTGAAGCTCATTTTGTTGCCTCTGAAATAAGTCAATGGAGACTCTTTCTGAAGGGTTGCTGGTAGACAGGACAAACAAGTACTGTGAACTTTCAGATCAGGATTGCAATGGGTGCAGCGATAACCTTTCAGGAGGTGCATTTTTGATGTGTTGTAAGGCAACGCTGTGAGTAGAGAACCTCAATGCAGTTTGTACTCTTTGCCCACTGCTCTCTAACACGAGTCAGTAGAAAGCTGGTGGGCTGTACAGTTCAATCTAGGAGGGAGTTTCAGCTCTTCCAAGACTAGTGGGGTCAAAGTAGTTATATGAGCCTCTCAGGATGCAGTTTCCTCCTATGTTAAAGTAAGTGTGTGTGAGAGAGAGGAGACAGAGAAAGAGAGTCATGCCTAACTCAGCACATAGGCACTCAATAAACATTGGGTTCTCCACACCAATTCACAGAAACAGAAGACACCTGTAGGCATCACTTACTTAATGTGGGCCTATGAGTACTTTCTTAAGTGTTTCTGAACAAAGAAACTCCCATAGTCTCCCTCGACAGTACAGTCCAACTTTTCAGAGCACATTTAACTAGGAAGTTCTTCCCACATCGTGGCTGCTGTCTCTTAGAATTAAGATGTAAAGACGCTTCACATTGCTGTCACACACCAAAAGCCCTTCCAGGTACTGCAGAATAAGGAACATGCATTCCTAGATGAGTTAATTCCTTTGATACTTTGATTGCTCACAGTGGTTTTGCCTACATCCTCTCCAAATTCTCCACTCCTCCTTTTAGTACAGGGAGTGGCCAAAGAGCTATAATTACACTCTTAAGGACAGTTAGAGGTGTCCTGTGGTTCCTGCTGTTAAAGTAATTAAATGGAAGCCTGCTAGACCAAGGTGGCCCCAATGCCCTGAGTTCCTGTGTCTGCAATCTGAAACCCAACTCAGTGGTCATGTTCTAGGACAATCTGAAACAGCCAGCTAAGCCCTAACTTGGGACTTTCCACTGGGATGAATTCTTTGCCTTGCTTCTGAGTTCACTCCATAAAAGCCTTCCTCTTTGCCCCTTCTGTGGAGCCATGAACCACTTGTGATCCAGAGCTGGCCCACCCATGATTGCTGTTTGCTCAAATCAAAATCAATTCTTTTTTTTTTTTTTTTTTTTGAGACAGAATCTCCCTCTGTCTCCCAGACCAGAGTGCAGTGGTATGATCTCGGCTCACTGCAACCACTGTCTCCTGGGTTCAAGTGATTCTCCTGCCATGGCCTCCCAAGTAGCTGGGATTACAGGCACCCACCATCATGCCTAGCTAATTTTTGTATTTTTAGTAGAGACACGGTTTTGCCATGTTGGCCAGGCTGGCCTTGAACTCCTGGACTCAAATGATCCACCCACCTTGGCCTCCGAAAGTGCTGGGATTACAGACATGAGCCACCATGGCTGGCCTCAAATCAACTCTTTAATATTAATATGCCTCAATTTATCTTCAACACTACATGCCGTACTCCAGTCTCAATACCAGCCTTGTGCTTTGACATTGACCTTCATTGGCCAGTGCTTTTCTTGTCTGTAGACTTTAGAAAATCACCAGAAACCTAATAGTAAAGATCATATTCATTCATTTAACTGATCTGTGTTCAGCACTGCCTGTAAACTGGGCACTGTTCTGTCAATTCATACACAATGATGAGACCTAGGCAGAGTCCCCTCCCTCTTCTAGACAAATGGTGGAGAAAGATGATAGTGGTTGTGTGTAGCCTATGAGACCAGGAACAAGAGCAGTGGAAGGGACTGGTGGGACAATGAGCCATGGTAAGGCCCTGCTGTAGCTAGAGTGTGCAGAGGAAGCTTCCAGAAAGAGGCAGCTTTAAACAGACCAGCCAATTTTATGAATTCCAGCTTGGGATTGACAAGTCATCTAAATCTGTAAATGTCTTGCTTGTCATTGGCCCCAAATCAAGGAATTTTAAGATGTCCTTTGTCATCCACATTCCAGAGCTTGACAAACACTGCCTATGCCCCTGTTCAAATGTGTGTTCTTCATGCATGAATACGTGCAGAAGGTTCCCCCATAAAATTCAGGTGGTTACGACGTGTAACTGCATCGCAGTACTCACCTCCGAATTATTTACATGTAAGCTGCAAGTTACACAGCGTGTCTCAGCTGCTATCCGTTTGCATGTAGACACCTCTATGTACATTAGAAAGCAGAGAGAGCATGACAACCCTTCAGATACTAGTTGAGAAAAATTAACGTGAGTGCCTCCCTATTCATTTGGGGGCCACGTCTTCTCAGATGAGGACGTCCCAACCAAACCCATGCAAGGCTGGCATACATTAAAGATGCTGATATCTCACACCCAGTGCAGCTGTCAAGTCTGCTCTAAGAGTGCTGCAGCTCCTGATGTTTCAAGGCCTTCTCATAGTGCGTGCATTTCTCACTACGATACTGACATGTAAATGGATTTATAGGAAATATAAATGCTTTCTAAAAGACACAAATAAAATGTCTGAATGCATGCCCAGCTTGTCTCATATTTTGGTCCACATGCTGTGAGTGATGTGGCAGTCGATGTCAGCCCTAGAAAAGGGCTGCTGTTGGCGTCTCGATCATTGGCATCATCCCCGTTTATTTATTGAAGTCTGGAATGCAAGGTCAGGGCACTGGGAAATTACCAGCCTAGAAGAAGTAGCTTTGAAAATATGTCATTTGCCTCTGGGGCATTTTTTCCTTTTTCTCTCTTCCTTCCTTGCTCCCTGCCTGCCTGCCTTCCTTTCTTCCTTCCTTCTTCCTTTTTTCCTCTATTTTTCCTTCCTATTTTCCTCTATTCCTTTCAAATTTTCTTCCTTCTTCATAATTCTTTCAGCAGAGAAAGGGGGAATAAAAAAGAAACAAGAAAATGAAGCATAAACAGAGCATCTATGAGAATATAGGCGTTAGTCAAAGAAAGAGAGGAGATAGGTGTAAAGTTAATTTTCTCAAGATTTTATTTGTGTTGTCTGGCCAGGCACAGTGGCTCATGCCTGTAATCCCAGCACTTTGGGAGGCCGAGGCAGGTGGATCACTTGAGGTCAGGAGTTCAAGACCAGCCTGACTAACATGGTGAAACCCCATCTCTGCTAAAAATACGAAAAGTAGCTGGGTGTGGTGGTGGGTGCCTGTAGTCCCAGCTGCTTGGGAGGCTGAAGCAGGAGAACCACTTGAACTCAGAAGGCAGAGGTTGCAGTGAGCCGAGATCATGCCACTGCACTCCAGCGTGGGCAACAGAGTGAGACTCCATCTCAAAAAAAAAAAAAAAAAAAGATTTTATTTGTGTTTCCTTAGTCGGTTATTTTGGGTTATTACTGTTTTACTTTCAACTGGAACTAAGTAGAATCCTTGGCTAATAAGTTTTATGTGGATCCTGCCACAGTTATCTCAAATGATTTCTTGGAGTAAAACTTGAAAAATATTTTCCTTTACTAGATTATGTTTCTATAATGATAACTCGTTAAACAGAAATGCTACATAGAAATCCAAAGAACTTCAGTTGTTCTTTTCTATCAAAATTCTTTACTTCTGAAATTCACTAAATTCTAACCTTTTTCCATTATCATAGCCACTCTGTTGCTGAAGAATATACCAAGAATTTCTTCAACACCACTGATAGTAAATCTCTGACTATACTGAATCCAGAATTTCAAGAACGTATTTCAAAATTTTAACTTTTTAAAAAATACTTTTTAAACTCTTCATGTGATTTCTTCTGTGTAGACCCTGCACAAAAGTTCTTCTTATGCTAACTTTATACTATCCTTAATTTTTCCCTAAATATCTAATGTAGTCTCTTTAGAATAATATACAACAGCCAGGGTTGGAAACAGTTCAAGGGGTAAACGTCTCTATCTGAACAAACTCTTCCTGTGATCTCCGGAGTCCCCTCCATTCCCCCGTTAATGCTACATGGGGAAAGGAAGTTATGCTGTAACTACAGAAGATACAACATACTCTCTATCCACCCTCATGCTGGTCCTGCTTAATTTTTAGTGAAGATCAAATGTGATTTCTGCATGAACTCAGGACATTGGTTCTGACCCAGAAAGTAAACTCCAGGCCTAACTGCCAAATACCCAACTCCCTTCTAACCACTTTTCTACAACTTTTGGATGGAAATTCTATATCTACTCATTAATTGTCTAGAAAGGACTGATTTTTGCCATTCAAAGTCACCTGAGAATTTCCATTTATGTTGGGAATTCAGCACGTTTCAATTAATACTTAAGTACCCCCACTCAAGCATCAATTCAAAATCAAGATGAGGAATGCCTCAACTCTCCTGGTGTGGGGTATGGGCCCTCGAGTGCCTGGAGGGTAAAGGCTCACCCAGGTGAACTTCACATGATTTTCTTACATCATCACTCAAAGGCATAAGGACCAGGAGGATCCTTCCTTTCTCTACTTAGTTTATTGCTTTCTCTCTTGCTGTCCTTTTGTGCTCCCTGTCTCCAATGGTTCACATACAAAATTAGGGGTTAGCAAGGAATAGGAATTTCAGAGAAGCAAGCTCTGTGGAGTTGAGGAAAACCACAAATATTGTAGCACATGATTTAGTACGGCAAATGGAAAAAACAAGATCCAGCAGCCCGGCAAATTCTCTCTTCAGCTATGTGACCTTGGACATGTAACTTCATCTTTGAGCTTTCTTCATTTGTAAAATCAGGATCTTAATTTTTAAAAAGTAAAGAAAACTGAGGCTGATGTGGGGGGGAAATCACTGGAGCCCAGAAGTTTGAAACCAGACTGGGCAACATAGGGAGACCCTCTCTCTACAAATAATACAAAAATTAGCCAGGCATGGTGGCGCGTGCCTGTGGTCCCAGCTCAGGACGCTGAGGTGGGAGGATCACCGAGCCCAGAAAGTGGAGGCTGCAGTGAGATGTTATTGTACCATTGCACTCCCGCCTGGGTGACAGAGCAGAATCCTGTCTCAAAAATAAATAAAGAAAGAAAAAAAAGAAAATAAAGGAAACTGTTCATCATGCCAAAAGCCCATGAGCCATGCCTGGCACCAACAGTTGGCATCTCTGTTCATATATAGTCATTTTATCCAGATAAACTGAGGCCACTCCAGCCCTTGCACCTTTGAAAACTGCTTAAGACTAACTCCTGACCTCTCATAACGCATTTCAGAAAAGAATGCTTTATTGCATATTCATTACTCTTAATTTATTTCAAAAATCAGGGTTTTTTACTTTATCAAGTTCTTTTTTTTTTTTTTTTTGAGACATAGTCTCGCTCTGTCGCTCTGGCTGGAGTGCAGCGGCGCATGATCTCGGCTCACTGCAACCTCTGTCTCCTGGGTTCAAGCAATTCTCCTGTCTCAGCCTCTCAAGTAGCTGGGACTACAGGCACGTGCTACCACACCCAGCTAATTTTTTGTATTTTTAGTAGAGACGGGGTTTCACCGTGTTAGCCAGGATGGTCTTGATCTCTTGACCTCGTGATCCGCCCTCCTCAGCCTCCCAAAGTGCTGGGATTACAGGCGTGAGCCACCACGCCCAGCCTTATCAAGTTCTTAAACAAGTGCCTTTTACGTGCCAGGCGCAGTGCTAGGAACTTTCTTAAACACGGTATTTGAATCTCTACAGCAATCCCACAAGTAGGTACCAATTTCCCCCTTTCACAGTGAAATAAATGGAAATTCAGAGATGGTAAGTGAACTACTCAGAGCCACTATCAGTCGGAAGTAGGAGGACTAGAACTGAACTCCGGCCTGGCTAGAATTATTCAACACAAGCAGAATCTAATTATTTCCCTTACAAAAGTCAGAGGAGGCTGGGCGTGGTGGTTCATGCCTGTAATCCCAGCACTTTGGGAGGCAGAGGTGGGCAGATCACTTGAGGTCAGGAGTTTGAGACCAGCCTGGTCAACATGGTGAAACCCCGTTTTTTAAAAAAATACAAAAATTAGCCAGGCGCAGTGGCGTGTACCTGTAATCCCAGCTACTCAGGAGGCTGAGGCAGGGGAATTGCTTGAACCCAGGAGGTGGAGGTTGCAGTGAGCCAAGATGGCACCACTGCACTCCAGCCTGGGCAACAGAGCGAGACTCCATTTAAAAAAAAAAAGAAGAAGAAAAAAGAAAAAAGGAAAGGCCCTCTGTGTTGTGGTTAGGACCTCAGGTTCTAGGGCCAAAAATCTCCTGGTTGACTGCTAGTTGGTCACTTTCTACCACTGTGGCGCAGGGACCTCACTGTCCTCTTTAAACATCCATTTCTTCATTGTAAAATGGTCACATAAGTGGGGGAACAGGTGAGATCACGCACAAGAAGCATCAAACTCTGTGTAGCACGTTAGCTCGTAAAGGATTCTCACCATTTTCATTGCATAGCTACGCATTTAGTGAACACTAATGACCTTACATATTTGTGTGTCACTGTGTGAACTTATAATTCCATGTCCTTCATGTAAACGATGTGTTTACATCCAACGTATTTTCAGAGACTCGCTTTACTGCCTCACTTCTAATTTTCTATGATATACGATTGTTTCTGTGTAGGCAACACCAGACATTGTTTTCTGATTTAGGCTGGAACGCTAGAAAACTCCACCGCCTGTATGTGAAAATGCCAATGCATTTTATAAGCAAAGTCAACCGCAAAATGTTTATAGGGTCAGGCAGTTAGATCTGAGGTACAAACATGGTTTAGAAGGAATTCTTACAATGGTGCTAAAGCTCTAGAAGCAAATACTATGTGGGAGGCCATAGAAAGAGTGAATTGTTGTTCACACTTCAGCTTTGATTTGGAGACACCTGTGAAAGAAAATAATCTTTTTCCCAGTACTTACTGGTTATTTTATTTCCAGAAAACATGCTTGTTATTTTAGCCGAGGTAATTGCCTTGCCTTTCGGGTATGGTTTGTGCTAAATGAACAGTGACACCTACTGGCGGAAGATGATCACGTTTATTTACTAAAAGAAGCTCCTGTTCTCACTTTGCTGGGTATAATCCCAGAAATAATACAGAATGTTTTGATTTCAAAGAGCAAAGAACCAACACTGGAGTTAAAAAGAAAAATCAAACCACGTCAAGGCCGATACATGAATATAGACAGATTCACTTTCTGGAGTGAAGATTGCTCTTTTCTTCTCTAAAAATGCTGGGTTCCCCCAACCACCACCACAAAAATAAGCTTGTCAGAGCTGCTCCAAGTAAGGCAGTTCAAGTGCCAAGGAAAGATGTTTGGCTTGACACACCTGTTCTTCTTCTCTCCGTGGAGTAAACAGATTGGCAGAGGCTGCTTCAAACACGTTATCTGTCTAACTCATTACATATTAATACTTCCAAAGTAAATCTCTCCATTCTGTAACTTTATTTAAATATTTTTATTAATATACAGTAATACTTTTCCAGATGGCCTTATCAGAAGTTTTAGTGAGAATAAGCAGCTGAAAACACAACAGCTGCTCTGCTGGCAGCCTGAGAGCCCTGCGCTGTGATACTGCCAGGCCCCCCATGGAGTCAGCCAGGCCTGGGGGCCAGGCCCAGGAGGGAGCGTGGGAAGCCAGCCTGCAGCTCCCAGCATTACTCATGCCCCTGGGTGGGCCACTGAGTCTGCGTCTAGGTTTGGAGTGGAAAGTAGGAGGTCTGTCTACATTCCCCCAGCTCAGCTTTGCCTAGGGCCCTGTCCTTGGGGGATTATTAGACACTGTTGATTTACAAAAGCTGGTATTTTCATCTAATTTGGTTCTCTAGGTCTAGAGGTTAAAACCCAGGGGGGCCGGAGGGATGACTAATTGGCAGCCTAAATTTCCAATGTGTTGTGAAAGTTATTTAACCTGAGTTTCCTTGCCTGTGAAAATGTGTGTATTGAGTACTGCTGTGACAATTACAGGAAACAATAGATGTAACCCCCAGCCCCGTGAGTTTTTTCTTTTCTAAGACACAAACCCCATTCTCAGAGTTATGGGAGAAGGTACATTTATACACTTTAATTCAGAGACCTTTAATTCAGAGATTAAATCAATAGCGTGTGGTCTTGGAGGCATTAGATGACTTTTTTTTTTTTTTTTTGAAACGGCGTCTGGCTCTGTTGCCAGGCTGGAGTGCAGTGACGCCATCTCTGCTCACTGCAACCTCCGCCTCCCAGGTTCAAGTGATTCTGCTGCCTTAGCCTCCCGAGTAGCTGCGACTACAGGCAGGCGCCACCACACCCGGCTAATTTTTGTATTTTTAGTAGAGACAGGGTTTCACCATGTTGACCAGAATGGTCTTGATCTCTTGACCTCGTGATTTGGCAGCCTCGGCCTCCCAAAGTGCTGGGATTACAGGCGTGAGCCACTGCGCCAAGCCCGTTAGATGACTTTACAGGCCATCAAAAACCCGCTGCCATCAGAAACTCTGGACCCACAAGCAAGCTCTCTTCTTGCTCTTGGCCCAGGTCTGGAGCTTGAATGAGGGGTGAGCATGAGCTAGCATAGCCACACCTCCTACTCCTTCCTCGGCCCCATCTCCCTCCAGAGTTCTTTCCTCCATCTTCCTTTCTTCTTTCTGGTACCTCATTCCAGAGCTTTAGCTGCTTCCCCAATAGACGTGGCTTTCAATGCAAATCCTGCATTCTGACCTCTCTCCTGGGTGCTCAGCATCTGCTGGACGTCTAGATGGGGGAGTCTTCAAAACGCCAAGGCCCCTGGGCAGGAGGACGGGTGACAGTTCGGTGTGTATCAACTCCGTAGCACGGTTGATACAAGCCTTGCCTTGAAGCACTTTGTCTTATGGTCAGAACCATGAACCATCCTTTCTGGCCCATATTAATAAGATTAAAAGCTGGTAGCTTGCCTTTTTCCCTGCCTGGTTTTTATGAGCAAATATAGGACACTGTCTCCTGCGAGGCAGCAGCGGATGAGGCTGGTCGGGGGTCACTGGTAAGAACGGGTCTCTGTTGCTATTACTCTCTGTTGGTCTGCCTGGGTTTGAATTTGGATGCCGAGAGCTGATGGGCCTATCACTGGAGTGACTTTGGGTGAGTTGTTTAGCAAATATATGCCTCATTCACACATTTATTCAACAAATATGAACTGGCATCATCTACGAGCCAGGTCCTGTTCTAGGCACTGGGAGGCGTCAGTGCTCAAAAGAAACAAAGTTCCTGCCCCCCAGTGTGTGCGCTCTCCTCGGGGGAAAACAGACCGAGAAAAACAAGCCCAATCCGTCATCAAGCTCTCCAGTTATGTTAGAGCAGAGGTGGCCGCACTTTTCAGTAAAGGGCCAGGCAGTGCGTCTGTTAGCTCTGAGGGCCACTGGTCATTCTGTGAAAGTGGCCACAGACAATACACGAACCAAAAGGTGTGGCTGTGTCCCAGTAAAATGTGATTGTAAAGTGGTTCGCTGACCTCTGTGTCAGAGCATTTCCATAGGCGCCGTGGAAGCAAAGCGGGGGAGTCCAGTTAAGGCGGATCTGCTGCGCCTGGGGTGGGAGGATGGGAAGAGCAGGTTGAACTTCAGAGTAAACTTCATCGAGAAGGTGCGATTTGAGTAAAGACGGGACCCGGAGGGAGCCAGCTGGGTGGGCACCTGCAGGATCCCAGGGCATTCCCAGTCGAGTGACGCAGGATGAAAGCCCACGGCATGTTCTGGCACATCCAGAGAGCAATGCAGCTCCAGGAGACACTGTGGGGAGAGAGGGACGCAGTGGGGAGGCCTGGTGAGGACCCCTGGCTCTCATTCCCAGTGAAATGGGCAGTGGCGGGGAGTGAGAGCAGAACTGACAACATCTGAAGTCCTGCTCTGACTGCTGTCTGGGACGAAGCTCAGGAGGGGCCGGGCAGACTCCAGGAGAGATTAGACTATTGCAGCAACCAGGGCAGGAGGTGGCTGTGGCTTAGTTCCGGGCGGTCGGGGGCTGGCGGGGGGTCGGGGGGGGGGGGGGGCGACATTTCCTGAGGATTGTAAGAGAGGCGTGAGAAAAGAGTTATAACACCTGGAAGGCTCTGCGTTTCCTCATCTGTGGCTGGAACAATCACTCTGCCGCAGGATTATCTGAGGATCAACTAAGTTGACTCACGTAAAGGGTTCGGCACATGCTTACTACTTAGCCATTGCTCAGTTCATGTAGGTAGTGTCGTTATTGTTTATTATGATGATTATGGAGTTGTTCAAATCTAGATTTGACTCTAAGCTAAATCACCTACTAGCCAGAGGATCTTGAAAATGTTCGTAATCTTGGAGTCTCAATTCCCCACGTATATAAAATGAGTTTAAGGCAGAAAATGGGGAGGCCTCTCTGCATGAATGGTTCCTCGCGGACACGGTAAGTTGTTACTGGGTCTGACTAGGTCTCAATTATGTGATCACCACTCTCTTGGTGCCCCTCTCCGGTGTTATTCTGTATTCTGTTGAGTTAGCCATGTTCTCCCCAAGTCTCTTTGGGAGCAGACTGCCCTGCAGTCAGGCCACAGAGCTCTGGAGTCCTGTGGACTCCACACTCACGGTGAAGTCGTGGGTAAGAACCAGGTGACGCTCCGCAGAATGGCAGGCTCCGTCCTTCCCTCTGAGGAGCTGCCAACAGTGTGTAGGTGGAAGAAAGTGAATTCCTCCTATGCCTAGCTCCCTTTCAAAAGGCATTTAATTTCCTGTGACTGATGAGAGAGTTTGTATTTGAAACGGAAGCCTCTTAATTTATAGCCCACAATAATAGAGTCTGGCAACTACAGACCCTCCCGGTGCTGTTCAGCGGCTGCCCTGCCTGCGGAGACCCTCCTCTGGTGGAGAAGCATAATGTGCCTTTCATGCCTTTTGCACTTTGGGGCTTCATCAGGAAAAGATGACCTTACTCAGTTAAAAAAAATCCTCTTCATCAGATGTGCAGTAGCTGTGAAACATCAAGAAGAACACATGCCATTGAAGGGTGACACCTGAATTACCTGCCATTTTCTATTTTTCAAAACAGTCTCAGCCAAAAGGCTAGAAGTGAATAAATAATTCTACCACGACTCCTCTAAATAAGATTTTAGCACTCTGTTATTTGCTTCGAACAGGAGATCAGAGAACATTTGAGAGTGGCACTTTGCATTTGGGACATGGCACGGAAGCCGTGGCTGGAGGCCAAGGACTGTCTCAGGCAGAAACCTTTGCCTGGGGCCTCGGGTGCATCTAAACAGAATCTGGGAATAAATACCAGGACCTGACACAGAGCGCCCGAGAACACAGAGACTGGCCGCTGCCTGTGACAAACAACGCTGAACACCCTCCAGCCTTCCGGAGAAGGGTGCACGGCTCTGACATCTGGGGAGAAAATGCTGGAAAGAGCCTCTTCTGCAAAATTGTGCATGGAGATTGAGAGCATAGTGTCGAGTTTCCACCTTGTTGAGAGTTTGTGCTCCAGAGAGCCATTTGCAGCAAAGAAAGAGAGAAGTCTGAATTAAAATGACACCAGTACCCTGCCCTCACTGACCCTCCCCACCTCGGCCCAGGACACAGTGCTGTCGAGGAGTTTCACGTCCCACCGCTCTGCCTGGCTGCTTCTCTCAGGCACCCCTTCCTTCCTGGAGTTATCATCTCTTTCTGCCACCTCTGCCTCGCTTCCCTTTCCACAGTCTCCTCTTCAGAAGGCAGGAAAGAGAAAGGAACAGCAGCTGGGTGAGGCTCACCCTGCCTGACTTCATGCTGTAAATGCTCCCTGTCCTCTCAGGAAGTTTCCCTTTTAATTAAAAATTGCATTTTTGAATGAGCTTCCTCAGAGCTAGGGAGCTGGAACATCTCATTTGTGTGGCATTATCCTTGTTCTCAGGAATGGCCATGTGGCTTCCTTCTCAGCTGGACTCCTGTGGGAAGCTGTGAACAGAAGGCGCCCTGAGACGTGCTCAGGTGTCCCTGGGACCCGGTGCAGCCCATGCCTCTGTGAGCTTCATCTCATGCCAACACCCCCAGTTCCCAGGCTTTCCTGGCCCACGCTGCCATCCCACCATGGCCAGCGTGCCCACATGAGCCCGCCAGGTTCCGGCCTTCTCCCCCAGTTCTCACTGCAGCATGCCCACTTGGCTTCCATTCCCAGCTGGCCAGATCCCTATGTCCTCTCTGATGTATTCGGTTACTCTGTGTTGATGCACTGGCGACCTGCTGCAGCTGTCATTCCCTTTGCTGCAGTATGTGTATATGAATTCTTCTTCTAATGGAAAGAGACTCAGGAAGTGAAGGGAAAGCGGAGGGAGGACAGGACCCTGGCAGTGGAACAAGGAACAGGAATGTCACGGGGAGTCTTACAGACCCTCCAGACCGTGCCCTGGAGGCCAGTGTCCGGGAGACAGTGGGTTTCCACAAATAAATGGGAAGGGGTCCCACGACCCTAAATGCACATTCCTCCGCCCCTCAGACTTCCACGTACTTGACCTCCTGGTGTTATTTAGGTGTTCAGAAAAGGTAATATAATTTCCAAAGGAGCTGAATTTGCTGCCAGAATAAAGCTCAATCCCTGCGAGATTCTAGTCCAGCAGTCAGGAAGGCAGGCAAGAGCAGACAGAGCCTGTCTCTGATTACTGTTCCTTCTCCAGCACAGGCCACAGGGACACGTGCATAGCTGCTGCTTAATAAGCTCTTGCTGACTGAATGAGTGAGGAAGGAATGAGTGAGTGAAGGAATGAGTGAGTGGAGGAATGAGTGAGGAAAGAATGAGTGAGTGGAGGAATGAGTGAGGAAGGAGTGAGTGAAGGAATGAGTGAGTGAAGGAATGAGTGAGGAAGGAATGAGTGAGTGAAGGAATGAGTGAGGAAGGAATGAGTGAGTGAAGGAATTATAGAATGGAGGAATGAGTGAGGAAGGAATGAGTTAGTAAAGGAATGAGTGAGCGGAGGAATGAGTGAGGAAGGAATGAGTGAGTGGAGGAATGAGTGAGCCGAGGAATGAGTGAGTGGAGGAATAAGTTAGAAAGGACTGAGTGAGCGGAGGAATGAATGAGCGGAGGAATGAGTGAGGAAGGAATGAGTGAGTGGAGGAACGAGTGAGGAAGGAATGAGTGAGTGGAGGAATGAGTGAGGAAGGAATGAGTGAGTGGAGGAATGCGTGAGAAAGGAGTGAGTGAGTGGAGGAATGAGTGAGGAAGGAATGAGTGAGTGGAGGAATGCGTGAGAAAGGAGTGAGTGAGTGGAGGAATGAGTGAGTGGAGGAATAAGTGACAAAGGAATGAGTGAGTGAAGGAATGAGTGAGTGGACGAATGAGTGAGCAGAGGAATGAGTGGAGGAATGAGTGAGTGAAGGAATAAGTGAGAGGAGGAATGAGTGAGTGGAGGAATGAGTGAGGAAGGAAGGAATGAGTGAGGAAGGAAAGAGTGAGTGGAGGAATGAGTGAGGAAGGAATGAGTGAGTGGAAGAATAGTGAGGAAGGAATGAGTGAGTGAAGGAATGAGTGAGTGGAGGAATGAGTGAGTGGAGGAATGAGTGAGGAAGGAATGAGTGAATGGAGGAATGAATGAGGAAGGAATGAGTGAGTGGAGGAATGAATGAGTGAATGAATGAGTGGAGGAATGAGTGAGGAAGGAATGAATGAGGAAGGAATGGGTGAGGAAGGAATGAATGAGTGGAGGAATGAGTGAGGGAGGAGTGAGTGAGTGGAGGAATGAGTGAGTGGAGGAATGAATGAGGAAGGAATGAATGAAGAAGGAATGGGTGAGGAAGGAATGAGGGAGGAATGAGTGAGTGGAGGAATGAATGAGTGGAGGAATGAGTGAGGGAGGAATGAGTGAGTGAAGGAATGAGTGAGTGAAGGAATGAGTGAATGGAGGAATGACTGAGTGGAGGAATGAGTGAGGAAGGAATGAGTGAGGAAGGAATGAGTGGAAGAATGCATAAGTGGGGGAATGAGCAAGGAAGCAATGAGTGAATGGAGGAATGAGTAAGGAAGGAATGAATGAGTGGAGGAGTGAGTGAGAAGGGAATGAGTGAGTTCGCAGACAGACACTGTGTTGGTCTCTTAGGCATCCCTGTCGCCATGGCCCCCAGACTCTCTGACTGTATTAGTCTGTTCTCACACTGCTAATAAATACATACCTGAGACTGAGTAACTTATCAAGGAGAGAGGTTTAACTGACTCACAATTCCACATGGCTGGGGAGGCCTCACAATCATGGCGGAAGGCCAATGAGGGAGCAAAGGCATGTCTTACATGGCGGCAGGCAAGAGAGCATATGCAGGGGACCTCCCCTTTATAAAACCATCAGATCTTGTGAGACTTATTCACTACCACAAGGACAGTATGGGGAAAGCCACCCCCATGATTCGATTATCTCCACTTGGCCCCACTCTTGACGTGTGGGGATTACTATAATTCAATGTGAGATTTGGGTGGGGACACAGCCAAGCCATGTCACTGACCTAGAGCCTCCAGGGTCTCATGAGTAAAAACAGAGGCCCTAAATCCTGCCTCACAGTGAAACTAGAGTTTGCCAGCATCCCAGAGGCCCTGCACTGGTTTATATCACCGCTGATAATATTAGGTTTTTTATCTGAAAAATAAAATCTACTACAGGGAAGCAGGATGAGTCAACTGCCTTCCTTCCACCTGAGGAAACCGGTTTCAGGATGAAACTTCCTGTTTAGCCAGATTTTGTAAACATGATCAAACCATCGAGTGGCCCTTTCTGTTATTCTTATGGGTAGGTGATGAGTTGCTTTGCTTGGTTTTAAGGAATCCCATATCATTCTGAGGATTCAACGTTCTGCCCATACCTGAGGCTGCTGCCATCAAGCCCCTTGGCGTGCCGTTGTCATGAGCACCAATGATGCATTTCCCATGGCACTGTTGCCCCTCCCTCACAGTGACCCCGATTCTCTTCCCTGCATCCTCCCCATCCTCCATTCCATGTTTCCCCAACTCCATCTGCTTCCTTGTAACCAACGCATGGCCCACGATGAGCACCAGAATGGAGGAAATAGCTCGCCCTTCCCCTCTCGCTGCTGTGTGTGTCCAGCTCAGACCCGGGCTCCTTAGAGTATCTGCCAGGAGCAGGGCCTTAGGGGACCAAGAGCTTGCTGTGAAACCTGAAAAGCTCAAACCAGCAGCCCCCTTACAGTTGGTTGGGAAGCCCTCATCCTTACTTAAAAGCTGGTGCCACTGTTCATAGCTCAGGGATTGTACGTGCTTCCCCCAGGCCAGGAAAGGACTGAAAAAGAGCTGGGCCCAGTGGGTATGAGCGGGGCTCAGCATGGCGCTCACATCAACCACCACTCCCAGATACACTGGAGGAGGACACAGCAGGCCACCAGCTCTGGGACAAGGGCTACCAGCTGAGACATGCTCGTACTCTCACTCATGTTCACTCTCCTTCAGATTCCTGGCCACCCACCTGCCCCAGGCCCCCTGCCACAACTTATGCAATCCTTCCCCATCCCCTTCTTCAAGGGCAGCAGACACTCAAAAAAAGTGCCAGACCGCTGACCCAGCAGATGCACGGGCTGCCCAGAGCCTACACCTATGATCTTTTGCATCCTAGCACAGGTACAGGAAAGGTCACTGTGCCTGGCTTAGCACTTTTATTCATGATACACATGAGACAGAATTTAATCTTCCTGTTTCAAATACTCCCTGAAATATTTTCCAATTCTGCTTCTCACCTGAAAAGCAAGACAGGGTAAACTTTATGAGAATGGATCTGCTACTCAGATTTATATAGATACATCACAGTTCTATTGATCTGAGGAATGCTGAGAACCTTGGGAATTAACAGAAGGCAGACTGCCACTGGGCCTGCGCTTTCTTCAGGCCGGTGCTGAAGGGGTTGTCATCTAACAGCGACCTGACTCTGAAAGAACACTGGGTTTGCAGCACGTGACCTCAAATTGGGTCTTAAATTCTTATTCCATGGATTGCTGTTTATTGCAAAACATCACACCAAGGTTGGGCTTGCTTTCATTTTTATAGTGACGGCCTTATGTGATTCCACTGAACATTCTGGCAATCTAAAAATATCCAGCAAGCACACCACTTTCCTTTGAACTGAGAGGTGCTGTCAGTAGGAAAGCTACTTGTCTATGTCCTGAGAAAGGGGCACTCTGGAAAGACTGGGTCCTTCCGCATTTTATGTATTAGTGTCAGCACACTGCGTTTTTGTGTGCCATTTGGTAATTTCTTCTGGAAAATCCTACTCAGGGAGACATATGGCCGTTATAACCTGGCGCTTTAGAGAACACACAATGCTGTCATCGTCTCAGAGATTTTCTGTCCAAAATGCTTGTAGTAATGAAGAGTATTCTCAACCATTACCACAGAGTTTAAAAATGTGTTCTCCTGGCCGGGGGTGGTGGCTCACACCTGTAATCCCAGCAGTTTGGGAGTCCAGTGCGGGTGGATCACAAGGTCAGGAGTTCGAGACCAGCCTGGCCAATATGGTGAAACCCCATCTCTACTAAAAGTACAAAAATTAGCTGGGCATGGTGATGGGAGCCTGTAGTCCTAGTTACTTGGGAGGCTGAGGCAGGAGAATCGCTTGAACCCAGGAGGCAGAGGTTGCAGTGAGCTGAGATTGCACCACTGCACTCCAGCCTGGGCAACAGAGCGAGACTCTGTCTCAAAAAATAAAAATTAAAATTAAAATGTGGCCTCCTTAATACAGCATCTGCAAGTCTTGCTGCATGCTTGTGAATTACTTGGGGGGATAGCATATAAATGGGCAAAGTCCACCTCATTTTAGATAAGATTTCATTGGCTATTTCCTAATGTTTTATTTTAATGAAATAATGAAAAGAGATGTCATTGTGGATTCTTTTTTAATGCCCATGAATGGTTTCTAGTGACATTGTATGGGGACAAAACATACACAGCAGATCTTGCCACCAACAGCATTCCCACAACTGTTTTCTTCCTGCAGATCCTACTTGCATTCCACACATGTCCACTCCCGGTATCAGCCTCGCCGACCCCCTGACCCATGGCACAGGCTCATCAGCCCTCAATATTGTTAAGTGGAAAAATGAAAGAGTTTTTATTATTACAAAAGTAATACATACTCATTAGACAATGTCAGTAAATTGTACCAAAAAAAAAAAAAAAAGGAAAACCTAGAAAACAAACATAATCCCACGTGGCTGGACATGGGATTTTTGACTCATTGCTGTAGAGCTTTCTAGATACGTTTTACATGTATACGCAAACCCACATGTCCGCAATTTTAACAGAGACGAGTTTATGCTGATGGGCTTTTTTTTTTTTTTTTTTTACCAGTTTTTCACCCTTAATTGTGTGTCACAAACATCTTTGCATTTCTCTAACGCCATGTTTAATGATGACCATTTGTCAGGGTGTGCCATGACTTATGTAAATGTGTATCTTGCGGAATGATGATAATTTTCCCACGGCCGAATTTTTCCTGTGTTCCTGACTTTTCTCTAAAAAGAAAAATTCCTAGAAGAGGAAGTTAGAGAGTCAAAGCATGTGCATGTTTTTAAAGCTTTTGTCAAGCCTGTCCATGTGAAGAGACCACCAAACAGGCTCTGTGTGAGCAATAAAGCTGTTTATTCACTTGGGTGCAAGTGGGCTGAGTCCAAAAAGAGAGTCAGCGAAGGGAGATAGGAGAGGGGCAGCTTTATAGGACTTGGGTAGGCAGTGGAAAGTTACAGTTAAAGGAGGTTATCTATTGTTAGCAGAGGAGGGGATTACAAGGTGCATGGTGGGGAGATCATAAGACTCATTGTCCGAAAGAAGAATGTCACAAGGTCAACTGATCAGTTGGGGCAGGGCCAGAACAAGTCATAATGGTGGAATGTCATAAGGTTGGTCAATCAGTTATGGCAGGAGCTGGCTGTTTCACTTCTTTTGTGGTTTTTCTTTGGCTGCTTCAGACTTCTTGGCTCCTGCAGGCCATCTGGACGTATATGTGCAGGTCACAGGGGTTATAATGGCTGAGCTTCGACTCAGAGGCCTGACAGCTTTGCATCCAACACTTATCCTCAACTCTAAGAAGTACCTTTTTGTGTATTTTAACATTTCTGAAATCAGGATATTGTAAATTGATGTGGATGTTTACAATGGTAGTATGATGGAGCTTTTCTTTCTTTGGTCAAGCCACTATTAAATTGAAGGTGCTTTTTACCATTAATGTCATCTTAGAATGGAGGCATTTCAGTCCTGTTAAATTACCTCCCAGCAAACAATTGTGCCAGTGTGCAGAGCCTCCCACCGAGTGCAGCTGCCCCCTTCCCCAGCCCCTCCCTTTTCAGCTTTGCCAAATGAGAAGCAATATTGTTTCTTATTTATCAAGTCAGTGCGTTTCTATATTTATGACTCACTCATGATTAATTACCATTAACATCTCTCTTAGCAGTTATAATTTTGGTATGACTTTTTGTTTTCCATGTAGATTATGACTCTGTAAAAAATTGTGAAACCATATTTATAAAAATATAAAGACATTTTAATGACAAATATAGCATACTCATTATAGAGGCTTTTATGTAAATATAATTTGGTGATCTTAATTTGAAATAAATCTTAATTAAATTTCTCTGAAGTCCCATTTTGTTAAAAATATCCAACGAGCCTAAACCTTGGCTGGCCTAAGCTCATGATGTTTCCAAGTCAGCAAGAAGCTCTGTCCTTACCCGTAGCAGCAGTGCCGAGACGCTCCTCTTCAGTTCTGTCTGCATTTCCAAGTCCATCAATGATGGTGCAATTGTGTTGACATAATTCATTGCCTGAGAAATGCTTACAGATTTGCAAATTCCAGATTGTGGTAACATGATTGAACATGACTCGGCGTGAATCACTGATTGACAGAAACAAGTTGTATGTACATTTGAAATGCTTGCTCATCACTGAACACAAAGAGAGAAGGATCCATTTTGCCTGCAGAGAATGGAAATGACTGGGGCCAAAGGAGTTTTTGTTGAAAGTCACTGTATTGCCATTAACCCAAAACATATTTCCTTCGGGCTAATACTAAGAAGCCACTTTGTTGTGCTATATAGAGCATTGCACTCAAAATCCTGTGGTTACTGATATTATAAAGCAGAACTTAGGGTACCATTCAAAGAAACAAAATAGGAAGTTCCTATCAAGTTACAGTGATTGAAGCATTTAAAAAGTTTCTATATACTGAGCAGACATCTCGCCCTAAAAGAAGAACTTGAAAGCAACCACCTTACGTTTTTGGTGGATTTGAGAAAAATAGCTAAAATGTGCCCATAGTGGATCAGCACCCTTTTAGATAACATCAAACTAAACTTCATGACTTTGAAAAAAATTGAGAAAAGTAGATGCTAAGTGGGAAGATTTTACTGTAAACCAACACCTCAAATCAAGTGT
Organism: Homo sapiens; assembly: GCF_000001405.40. Taxonomy (NCBI): domain Eukaryota; kingdom Metazoa; phylum Chordata; class Mammalia; order Primates; family Hominidae; genus Homo; species Homo sapiens. The sequence goes on along the minus strand of NC_000006.12, from coordinate 161,406,233 downwards.
GTGTATATATATATATGTATATATGTGTATATGTATATATGTGTGTATATATGTATGTATATATATGTGTATATATATGTGTGTATATATGTATATATATGTGTGTGTATATATGTGTATATATATACGTATGTATAAAGGAACAAAACATAAAGCCAGGAGATTGTGAGGGTCATTTCCATCCACAGACCAATCCCCAGCTTCCCTTATCAGGTTCTTTCCCAGTGCTCTTAAGGAGGTGGGTTTACTCCCATGCTGAGCCAGTGTCAGATATATGTTTATTTTAGATCCTTGAAATTAACTTGACATTCCTCTTCAGCAAAGAAAAGCATCATTTTCCAAATTAGTGGGAGCAAAAGTCTACTTTAAAAGAAAAATCTATTTGGACTGCCAAATTGGTAGGAACAGGCATAGACTTGGCAGTTAACCCTTCTGCTGATCCCCTGTTGCCACTTCTCAAATGGCCCAACGGGTACGAGACTTGGAACACGAGCCTGCCTGGCTGTGAGCACTCATGGACCCTCAGTTTCCCTTCCCTTTCTCCTGGAAGCTGGCCCAAAATGCTGATTATGGTGGACCCAAATTTATTTATTTATTTATTTATTTATTTATTTATTTATTTATTTTTAATTTTTATTTTATTTTATTTTTTAGACAGGGTCTTGCTTTGTCACCCAGGCTGGAGTGGGGTGCAATGGCACGATCTTGGGTCACTACAACCTGCACATCTTGGGTTCAAGCAATTCTCCTGCCCCAGCCTCCCAAGTAGCTGGGATTACAGATGTGTGCCACCATGCCTGGCTAATTTGTGCATTTTCGGTAGAGACGGGGTTTCACCATGTTGGCCAGGCTGGTCTCGAACTCCTGACCTCAATTGATCCACCTGCCTCAGCCTCCCAAAGTGCTGAGATTACAGGCATGAGCCACCATGCCCAGTCAGACCCACTTTTAAACAGCAATTTTGAAAAAGAGGGGCATGAACACAGGATGGCAAATGACGACTAATGACTTTTCCCCCAAATCCCATTGTAAATCTTGTCACTGTGTGACCAAGCCTATTTCACCCACTGCCATTTGTTCCTGGCCCATAATAAAGTAAAGGCCTGTGAGATATTTGGAGAGATAAATCAGCATTCAGTTTAAAGAGTCAGAGCTGGAGGAGAAGGTGGGAAGCAATGTTATCATTTAGTCTATCTTCCTGCCTTCAATGAAAATATAAAACATTAAACGTATATCAGACCATCCCAGTAAGAGAAGAATTAGTCCCCCTTTTTATGACTTTACAGAAACATATACTTTTCTGCTGGAACTCCATTCCATTGCAGTATTTACGGCTTCGCATTCTGTTTTTAGAAGTATGTTGCTACCGACTTGAAAGAGGATGTCAGGTTCTCTGTAGCAATAAAGGGGCAGGTGTGGCCATCTGTGCCATTTCAGTGACTTATCTGAATAAGCATTTCAATCCTTAGAAACAGAGCCTTCCCATGGAAAATGCTTGATTTTGACTTGCGTCATTGTGCAGGGAGTGATATACACCATGATAAATTTTCCTGCAGAAAAGTCTTTCTGAACACAGAGCCATAGAAATGAATTCTTACAGATAATGTAAACTTAGAGACACCCTGACACATTTTTGTTCTCTTAATTTTGAATCTTAACTAAATTTTGCAGATGCCATTGGGGTCACTGAGACAAGAAACTGCGTTCAGTGGCTCATGGACACTGATGATATTAGCTCAATTTATAGAGTTGTCTTGTTTGCGTCTTGATGAATCTTGTTTACCCTTCAAGACACAAAGTGTCACTGGGGCTGTGGAATTTGGACAGACTGTCCAGGGAGAGCAATCATCTCCTCCTCTGTGACTGCTCTAACCTCTGTCATCCCGTCTATGCGTTGCCACACAATTTTCTGTCTAGGTGCCTGTGTTCTTCTTTCTTTTCTTCCTAGAATAAACCTTTATTAAGCTCCTACTCAGGGCCAAGTACTTAGATAGCAGCTCTCAGAACACATGGGGTGAGAGAGCTGGGAACTTGAGTCTAGTAGGGATGATGGATAAGGAAATACCCAGTGCAGGGTGGAGGGATTTAGGATCAGGTCAGTACAGAGTGGTGAGAACACACAGGAGAAACAGCAAACCCAGGCCTGGGGTCAGGGAGGTTTGCCCAAAGGGATTTCCTAATGGGGAATCAGAGTACTCCCTAGAATGATCTCTGTTGCTACATGGAATACCACAGACTGGGTAATTTATAAAGAAAAGTTTATTTGGCTCTTGATTCTGGAGGCTGGGAAGTCCAAGAGCATGATGCTGGCATCTGGCCAGGATCATCCCACAGCAGATAGGCAGAAGGGCAAAGGCATGTGTGAAAGAGAGAGAAAGGTTTTTAACAAAGCTCCTCCCACAGTAACCCACTCCCACCTCACAGCATTAATGCATTCATGAGGGTGGAGCCCTAATGACCTAATAACCTCTGAAAGACTTCACGTGAATAAAATCTCAGCATGAGTTCCAGAGAGGCCAAGCATTCAAACCATAGCAATCCCTATTCCAAGTCATCTAGGCAAAGGAGGGCTAGGGAGAAGATAGGCTGAGGAGCAGAGGATAAAAGCGTGGCTCTCCAGAGAGTGATTCTCACAGAGATGGGGCAGAGTCATTACGTGCTCCTGCCCTGAGGCCCTGCACTGCCAGAGAGAAGCATCCTCTCAACAAATGCTTGTGAGATAAAGGAATGATTTGATTTGGAACAATAACCGACCCCATGAGCGTTTTTCCGTTTCTCCACAGGACAACAGTAAAGGGCCCTTTATGAGCTATTAGCCTTTTGAAAATTTGGTTCTCATCACAGAGATGGGATTTCAAAGAATAAGGAGTTAGATCATTGTTATTATCAAAACAATCTGGCTTTTTTGTGCTTTTTTAGTGTTTGCCATGATCTATGTCGTTAGGCAATTTTTAAAAATATAGAATATTAGGTCCCAATATTATTAAGAGAGCCAGAAGAAAAAGGGGCAGTATTCTACCCTACAGATGATCAGCTCTCTGAGGGCCCTGCAGTTCTAACAGTCTGTGCCACTAAATCGAGAGGGAGGAAGGGCGCCCAGCACTGAGAACAGTTGATGCTTCACTCTCCATTGTTATTCAGCTTTGCAGGAGTTCAGGAAATGCCACCTCAAAATATGATGCTTTGGTGTGCTGACTCCTTAACAGAGGACACTTGGGGAACAGCAAATTCGGGGAGGGCCTTTCTCTGAACTAGCTTCTCTGCAAATACAATTGATGGATCTCAGTTGTCGTGAATCCCCTCCCAGGGAATTGTGTCAGCCGGGGAAGATGAGTACGTGGACACCATGCCTGGAGAGACTACTGCCTGTTCTGCTCAGGGCTGCTCGGAGACAACTTTTATTACCTGAGAGATTGTTTATCTACATAATAAGACAACCTTTATTCACCATACAATTCCTCTCCTTGCCCTCCTCTAACCTCCTCCCCCTCACAAGAATCCCCAAGCCCCTGTTCTTTTCTGTATCTAGGATATAGTTCTGTAGGCTTCCATGATCTAACCCTTCTTGGAGTCTCATATTCTGTGGGACTCTCATGTGTACAGAATTGAATATGCTCTTTCTCCTGTTAATCTGTTTATATGCCATTTTAATCAATAGCCCAGCCAAAGAACCTGGGAGGGTAGAGGGAAGCCATCTTTTGCTCCCCCACAGCTTCCAGAATGTCTCTCATGTTATGGGACCAAAAAGCTATTTATTAGTAGAGAGGCAGCAATGTCTGTGGCATTTCCTCGACTCACCTGAGATCCGCGCATTATCTCAGCCGCCCTGGGACACAGTCACTTGCTCTTTAGCTGTCATTTAATTAGTTTGCTTTCTATGTCCTTAGCAAAGCAATAAAATTGAGAGAGAAAAAGAAAACTTAGGCAGGGGAAGAGTCTTATAAGTCTGGGTTTTATTTTATAATTTCATAAGACACTGCAAGGTGTGCATGTTGCTGGGAGATAGCATTTTTCAGGTCACTGAAGGCATTTGGCTTCACCTCCTGCTCACGACCCCCGAGGCATGAGTTATCTTTGGCCAACAGGCATCCAGAGGAGCCTTTAGAGCCTGGCCTGCCACTGAGACTGTCAGGGCGGTGATGACAATCAGCTCTCTAAGTGGTTCTGGCTCTCACCATTGTCTGATAGTCATGGCAGAGATGCATATCGAGAGGATAATGTGGGAAATGCTCTCACCATTATTACCCAGCCCCAAGCTGGGAACCTTCTTTAAGAGGCCTTAAGAATATAAGTAGAAGCATTAACGGCTTCCGCTCCAGAGATTGGTGTGTGAACAAACATCTCAGACCTCTGGATCTCTCATCTTCTCTCTCCTCCTTTGAGCCAGAACATTCATGAATAATCATTTAGGGCAGAGGTTCTGGGCCAGAAACATCTGAGATCCAGTCCAGCCCCCGGAAATCCAAATGCAGCTGTCTGAGAATCTCATGGAGAGACACAAGCCTAGAAAGTGTTCAAGACATTTGGGGGATTTATTTCAGCTTCTGTCATTAGTGTGTGCTTAACTTCAAGGGTGAAATCCAGATCAGTACTCTAATTTTTTTTTTTTGGTGGGGAGTGGGGACAGAATCTTGCTCTTGTCGCCCAAGATGGAGTGCAGTGGCACAATCTCGGCTCACTGCAGCCTCCGCCTCCTGGGTTCAAGCAATTCTCCTGCCTCAGCCTCCTGAGTAGCTGGGATTACAGGCGTCCACCACCACGCCCAGCTAACGTTTTTGTATTTTTAGTAGAGATGCGGTTTCACCATGTTGGCCAGGCTGGTCTCAAACTCCTAACCTCAGGTGATCTGCCCACCTTGGCTTCCCAAAGTGCTGGGATTACAGATGTGAGCCACCATGCCCGGCCAACTCTAACTTTTAAAATTAATTCTTTGGTGCTAAAGCAAGACTGGCCTTTGGTAGGGTGGATCTTCTCCTCAATTCCCCAGGACGTGACTGAACTATCACAAATGAAAGTCCTGTTGCTAAAACCATGCCCGACCAAGCCTTCCAGCCTGATACTTTACATGCAAAAACAGGTGTCTTTGAGCCAACCTTCTTTGTTGGCTAAATTAAGAGACTGCAATAACACCAGGCCAAAACTTACGTGAATGGTGGATTTCTATGACTTCGTGTTTATTAAGCTCATTCTATAATGAAGGATGGTGCTGCAGCCATCAGAAACAGATGTTTGTTTGCAGTGTACTCTGATCAACAGTCTTCCCCTTGAGTAATGGCCTGGACGCTATCTGTCCCTGGTCCAAGATTTGACAAAGTGTGCAAACAAGTAAATCAGACACAGTGAAAGTTAGCGATAACCCAGGACAGTTCTTATTCTCTGGCTTTCTTTAACAAATGACTCAGAGTGTGTGGCAGAAAAATTCATATGCTCTCACTGCAGGGCAGTTACGCCTCATATTTTCTTTAATTTGACTGATTTTCTGTCCCCTGCAGCTCTTTTCTTCAACACAGTGTGAAGTGAAACTCATATGGGTCGTCCAAAGGCTGAAAATAAACACAGCATCCTTTATTCGAAAAAAAAAAAATCTGAATTTCTTTGTCTTAGAATACGTTTAATTTTCGGCCGAGCGTGGTGGCTCATGCCTGTAATCCCAGCACTTTGGGAGGCTGAGGGGAACGGATTACCTGAGGTCAGGGGTTTGAGACCAGCCTGGCCAATATGGCGAAAGCGAAACCCCGTCTCTACTAAAAATACAAAAATTAGCTGGGCGTGGTGGCACACACCTGTAATTCCAGCTACTTGGGAGGCTGAGGCAGGAGAATTGCTTGAACCTGGGAGGTACAGGTTGCAGTGAGCGGAGATCGTGCCATTGCACTCCAGCCTGGGTGACAAGAGTGAAATTCCATCTCAAAAAAAAAAAAAAGATTAGGTTTAATTTTCTAATCTTCCCCATGTCCCCAGCTCACCTCATCCTACTTTCTTCTAAAATATTGGAGGTGTTCTGTCGCTTTTGTTCTGTGGACCCTTAACTGAACTCTGCATCGTGCAAGGAGTCCTCAGACAGCAGGGTCCTTGTAGACCTGCGCAGTCCAGCGTGGTGGCCAGCATGGTGGCCACTAGCCCTGTGAGGCTCCTGTCCAACATGGTGCCCACGTGAGGCTCCTGAGCCCATAGAATAGGGCTAGTCCCAACTGAGATGCATTGAAAGAGTAAAAGCAGACCCGATTCCAAAAGCTTAGTAAAAATGAATATAAAATAACTCATTACCAATTTTTATATCGATTGCATGTTGAAATGATACAATTTTGAATATATTTAGTTAAGTAAAATATTGAAATTAATTTTACTTGTTTCTTTTTCCTCTTTTCATATAGCTACTAGACCATTAAAAATTATTGCTGTTTCAATTGGACAGCACTGTTCTAGGCTGTATCCTTTCACGGTGGTTTCAAAATCAAAAAGACAAAAGTGTTGCAGAATTACACTAGCAGAGTGAATTACACTAGAATGCTGGCATCATCCCTAGCACTGGGATTGGTACTTTCTGGGGGCTATCATTTCCAGCAAACTCCATTGGTCCCAGTTCACCTTCCTCTTCTTACTGCTGAAACGGGAGAGTTCCCTGACCCACCCCGGTTGCAGGACATGCAACAGGCATATGGCTCATCAGTTCAGCCACCACCACTGCTCAAACTCCTTATGGGAGGGGGAGCATGCAGATGAGCAGGTGCAGGAGCCAGGACGAGCACTTCTGGGCTCTGGCCCCACAGTAGTGTCTAGGGATGGGTGCCTGTGACTCCCAAAGCCCAGTTAGCTGTGTGTTACAGTGCGCTCTTTTAATTTTGCTGTCTGCAGACAGCTTAAGTGTTAAACAGCTCAGTGGACCCTCTGCCTTTTTGCAAGGGCAGAGGGCCAGTGTGACAGCTTTCCATATTCCAAGTTCTTGTCTGGCATCCAGAAAAATCAGGTCACCCATGGACTTGAAGGATGGTGACTGCAGGGTTTTATTGAGTGGTGGATGTGGCTCTCAGTGGGATGGATGGATGGGGAGCTGGAAAGGGGATGGAGTAGAAAGATGATCTTCCCCTGGAGTTGGGCCGTCCAGCAGCCAATCTCCTCTCTAACTGTCTGCAGCAGAACTCCTCTCGACATTCAGATATTCCTTCTCTTCTCTCCTCTGCTGCTCTTCTGCTCATGGAGCCTGGGGTTTGGAGTTTATATAGGGACAGGATAGGGGGGCATGACAGGCCAAAAGGCAACATTTGGGTGTGAAAACAGGAATGCCTGTTCCCATTTAGGGCCATGGGTTTCCAGGCTTGAGGGTCAGGCCTTTGCTGGGGAACTGCCCTCTTCTACCCAATATTTCCCTGTCTCCTGTCTGTAACCTCCTCATCTCCTCACTACAACCTGCACCTCCCAGGTTCAACACTGTGCTCCCATGGAACCTCACATCCATCATATGATCAGGACACAGCTGACTGTGAACTCTGTGAGGCCATGAAGAATGGCCAGTGCCTTACCATTCACACACAGTACATGCTTGATGAGTACTTGTGGAATGGAGGGAGCATTGGGTAGAGCAAGGGAGAGGTGAATTGTGACTCCTCTGAAACTGGAAATTACATACGTTCTGCATCTTTGCAGGCTCCAGCAATGCACAGCATACATTCTGAGTGGAGTTCCTGAGTAGGAACTTTTGGTTGAATGAATGAGCTAGAACAGGGTCTCTAAATGGTGCATACAAGTCACTCGGGGATCCTGGTAAAATGAAAGATTCTGGTCTAGTACTTCTTGGGTGGGGCCTGAAATTCGGGTTTTCTGACATGCTCCTGGGTGATGCTGATGGTGCTAGTCTGGGAACCACATTCTAGGGAACTAACTAGAGCCAGTGCTGTGATGTGAATTTAGTTATCAACATGGATGGGCGTCCCTTCAATTCATGTCTCATGGATGCTCCAACTGACAGTAACTGTTTCAGCCTCCTCTCTATCTGTGACTCTCCTCTCCCCCTAGACTCCAGAAGATTCAGAGCTGCTATGGTGCTCTGTTAGGAAGACCAAGGGCATGGGTGTCATCTCCTTGAGAAAACTCTCTCATCAATGTGACTCTCCTAGGATTTTGCTGCAAAACCTTATCCTCCTCCATTGAAAGCCATAAACCTTTGAGTGTGTCTCCCTAGCCTCGACTTTCTCTGGGACTTCACTCCCATCCTGCCCCCTCTCTGGCTAGCGTCTTCATTCTCTCTCTTTTCATCATCTTTTGCTGTTTTCAAACTGATTCAGAGCTCTCTGTTGTGAAGCCTTTTCCACCCCATCATGCCTGTGATCTTAGCCTCTGAATCTAGCTGACCATTGAACCATTGGACCAAAATTATGGCCTCCGAGGTCACTAAAGTACTTTCCCTGGCAGAAAGTCTTAGTTATTCCTCTTGTACTCAGGATTGACCTCTCCATTCTCAGTACTGGGTTTCCTCAGCACTGTGCTATCCTCTTCTGCTTCTCAGAAGTTGAGGCTTTTCCAGCTACTACTGCTTGTTTATTCTGCAAAGGTTTGATGATTGCCATTATTCTGTTAGGTCCTTGCAACTTCATGATAATCACGTGGAATTAGAAGTGACTTGAATTTGAGGTGACTGCAACCTATCCAAATGGAAATATGCAATAGGCAAAGTGCATCTTAAAAGAGGAGTTGGGAAGGGTGGAATAGATTTTGAGAAGTTGTTAGAAGAGAGGCAGTCAATTAAGCTTGATGTTAGAATGCTCCCTGAAGGGGCAAATGTGAAGGGCAGAAAAACAAATGCTATCTCCACGTGCTCTTACCCACTGACCTCAACCCGCCTGGATCTCTTCTATGGGACCCTTAAGACTTACACAAGAATACTCAATTCAACCCATGATTGTGCATTGTATCATGGAGTACACAATTGTCCTTCAGCTCTTTTATGCTTTATAAACATCCACCTTAGCTGTAAGCTACTTGACTCCAGCACCTGGATTGCCACAAAGAGACACTGATCACCTACTATGTTCTAGCACCTGGATCTTGGGAAGACAAAGATGAATAAGATACAAATCCTATCCCTTTAGAAGAGGAGATAGGTGGAGACAGTTTCATATAGAGGGTGAAACAGTTTAATAGAGGTATGAGTAAGAAACAGGGCTTGGGAAGAAAACACCTTGATCATTTTGGCTGAGGCTGCAGGGGAAAGGGGCCAGAACAGGTATACCTGCAGGGCACCTATGAGACTGCTCAACATACAATAAAGGGTTAATGTATCATTTTGACTGATTGATTGATTGATCATTGAGGAGCTGCAAAACCTCCAAAGACAAAAGTCTGTAAGATGTGCTGGCAGGGTGTCCCCAAACATGTTCAGGCCTCTTTCCAAAGCTGGCCTTGCCCCAAGTTGCCCAGGGCGGGCCCAGGTATTCAGGGAAAGCATTTCGCCTCCCCTGCTGTGCTAGAGAGCATAAGGATACCCACAGGCACATGGGACAAATTGGGCTCAAATTGCCATATGGCTTGGATTTCACATTTTTACTGGCGTAGCGTAATCATTTCTACAGAGTCTAGTGCCTTGCTGCAGATTGTAAATGATAAGGTCACGAGGATTAGGGACCAGTTAAAAATTATAGAAGACATATGCTGTGCGTTTTACTAATGAATGGCCATATTCAAACATGTTCACTAATTAATGGCAATATTTGAATGGGCCCACTAATGAATGGCGATGTTTGAAAGTGGCATTGAATTTGATACTCTGTGACCAGTGCTCCAGTTCTAGAAGGAGCCAACTGCTCCATAAGGTCTGAGAAATGCTCATTTTAAAGCAAAATTGGGCAGGCCTTGCAGGATGGTAAAGGGAATTCTCAGTTAGATATTGAAATTTGCCCGCCAAGAAGTTTGTTTAGATGAACAGGATGGTGTGAACATATCATTGAACAAGAGTTCCAGCTTGCAACCAGGTCCTACCTTAGCCTTTGGGAACAAGGTAAGCCATGACACAAATGCCAGAGCTGGGGACCTTGGAAGATAAGGACTGTCCCCATAGGAATTGTTTTCAGAAATGGTTACAGTAAAGAGAAAGTAAGAAAAGAGGCGGGGGATTAGGGACCGAGAGCATACAGCACTCCCACCCCAGCTTCCCCTGTCCTCTGGCAGACTGCTGCAGTCAGGTCACCTGGCAAGCGTCACTGAGAGCCAAGTCTGCAAAGCTGAGGCTCACGACACAGCCACAAGTGAGGGAAGCTGCCGTTCCCCCATTCACTGTTTCTTTCTCTCTAACCTGGACCTCTAATTTGTTGGCTGTCTGTGTTTAAAGCCGCTGAGCTTAAATTCATTACAAGTCCTTTCCTGGCAGGCGGGCCAGATTCAGGCCCATCAGAATGAGACGACCAGCTCCATGTGTGTTGAGCTGAGGAAAGTCAGAGTGAGCCTGACCACAGGCCACTCCTGACCCAGCTTTGGCTGTGTAGACAAGACTTAAACGTGGTCAGAGTAATTGCTTTGGCTAGGAACACAACTCTGTGGTGACAAAACATGTATAAAGAAGGTCTTAGCAAAAGTGCTGGGATGTATTTGATATTCTTTTAAAGCAGCTTGACAAAGGCGGTGGTTGAGACCACAGCGTGTTGGGGAAGCAGCTTCCACCCACCTTGCTGCTAAGCCTGTGACTGACAAGGCTCGCGAAAGCAATCAAAATGGAAAGTCCATATGCCCTTGGACCCAGCTATTTCATGTCTAGAAATTTCTGCTACAGATTTCCTTTCACATGTGTGAAATGACCTGAAGAGCGGGACATTCCCTGCAGCTTTGTTTGTCATGGCAAAATATTGGAAGGACCTAAATGCTGATCGGAGGGGCTGGTGAAATGAACGAAGGCACATCTATCCACTGGAATATTGTGTGGCTGTTCAGGAAGAATGGAGCAGCTCTCCGTGTGCTAATAGACAGCCATCTGTAGCATGCATTAAACGAAAAACCAACAAGCAGAGTACAGCACATTATACAATGTTTTATAGGGTATTTTTGTTTAAAAATAGCATAAATTGATGATTGAGTGCAGAACATATTTCTGGAACAATACCTATACAAACAGGTGACAGTGATTGTCTCTGGGAAGCTATGTAGCTGACCAAGGAGGAAAGGAGACATTTTTCACAATGTACCTTTTGAATCTGTGCTACCTGCACATATTTTGCATTCAAAGAATACCTACTTTTTAAAAATCCATGACTCTGCAAATGATATTTCAGTAACGCTCTTAAAGAAAAGAAAAAAATAAATGGCCAATACACATTTTTAAGTTTATTTTCCCTTTAAGTTATGGTAAAAATCAAAACTATTTTGGAGTAGGAAGTAAATGTAAATGTCTTTGTCCGTAATTATAGACTGGATAGTTAATTCCCAGCAGAACCATTGTCAGGAGGACCACCTTATCATGGATCTTTTAATGTGAGGTGCTGAGGTCAGCCTGTTGAAAGTAAGCTCAGTGGGTCTTTTCTCCTCATTGCATGAACTCATCTTCTCTGAGGGGCCCTAGTTCTGAGACAGGTGGTACTAAAGTTTCCTACTAGACGGTACTCATAGTGAGTGGGTCAGTGCAGACTGCACAACTGAAAGATGGGATGGTTACGTGCACGCGCATGATGATAGATGTTGGTGTAAGAAAAGGGGATTTTCGGGGATCTTTTCAGAGCTTGCAAGAATGGAAATTAAACCAAAGAAAGTAAGGACCTGTTCAAAGAGCAAACCTAAAACAAAAATAAGCCTAGGGCTGCAGGGTGTTGGAGGTCACAATATTTTGTGGGAAACTAATTGGCATTGTTTAATATCCCTGGGGATTAGTACAGAATTTGTGAAAGACAAAGGAACGTGGGTACTCTACAGAGCTGTATCCAGCCTCCTGAAAATTCTTTCTTTTTAGCCCTTTGGAGACCACACATAGAACACTGTCTTCGTCTGTTTGCATTTGGAGCTTAGCACAGTTTAAGATTGCCTCACACCATGAGAGTCTGTGATTTTAAGATGTTGTGTACTTGAAAGGAAATAACCTTACTTTCTTCTTTTCAAAATTGTGTTTTAATGCATTATAATCTAACACCATCTCCGTTCTGTGGCACTGTCTTGTCAGAACGAGTTTTGCATATATCAGCGGCTGGTGACTCATAGGGAGACTTCCTCTCTTGATAGATTCCCTTTACAGAGGCTGGACTTACGTATCTCTGCTGCCATCTTCTGGAAAGCTACACACCAAAAAGAAAAATATTTCATCTATTCCCAAAGAAGTACAAATGTGTGCTTCATGCCTTTGATGTTTGCCTTGACTCTAGTAAGGGGTCCTAAGATGGTATTTGATTCTCTCCTATTCTTTTAACACAGAATTTCAGAGCCGTGGAAGAAAAATAAATGCACATAATAGAATGCTTTTATAATAGATGCAGCCATGATAGAAAACAGGCACAAAGAAATCTTGGCTTCCATAGAGAGATCATCATCAAGCCTTATTTTAAGGGTCATTGCTTGTAGGTACCTACTGGCTCTCAACCTGATTGATCAGCAGCCACTGGAATATTCCGATTGCATTAGAAGCTGTTCATTTGCTTCCTTTTCATGCTTCCACAGAGAAAGTACACATACAGCCCCTTTTGAATGTGTTCATTATGGAAATATGGGAAAGCAAACTCAAACATCAATCAAATGACTACTGCACTGACATGATATTGAATGAGAGGCATGATGGGCCATTCACATAGCTCTCTGGTAGTACAGAGCGTCTAAGGGGGCTGACAGTGACTTACCTCAGCATGTATACCAGCAAAGAGAGGCCTCATCCCTTTCTAGACAGCAGTCTTATGTCTTATGAGTAGTTTACAAGTGTGGCATTTCTGGGGAGGTGTCAGTTTTACCCGAGATTCACATAACAGTCATTATTATCAGTATACTGGGAACTGCTTTAATTAACAAGGCGCTTACTACCCTCTTATTTTTCTACAGACTCTTACCACTTGTTAAACATCATAGCCCCATGGAGAAAACTATTTGTTGTGTTGTTGTGTTTACTGTGTACCAGAAACTGTGTTAAATATTCTTTATCTTATTATTTCTTCTTTGTAGATGCAAAAAAGCTCAAGCAAAGAGATGTTGGGATCACACAGATAATAAATGATCCAAGAGGCCTCAGACTCCGGGTCTCTCTACCTCAAAGGGTTCACTTCTAAACACTAATCTACATCTGGTATTTAAACATGTAAAGATCTAGTACACGATTTCACAGATTAAAATGTGCTATTCTTTTATATGTTGCCTAGGGCCAAGATTTTACTCATCCTAAAAGTAAATACTCAACACATATTAGTTGCAAGACAAAAATATGACTTCAATGTTAAGAATAGTTTAGCTATTATGCAATAGAAAAAAATTGGCTTATTGAATTTAGCCTCTATTAAATCTTTTTTTTTTTATTCTATACCTCCTTTTAGGCATTTAGGATAAGCTGATGACTAGAATTAAGTTAAAAGTGTGGCACCAAGCTCTCAAGCTTGAAAACATACCAAGGAGAATGTATTAGGTGACCATGTTTATTGTCAAATGAAAGGAAACCACCACACTGTTGGAAGTGGTGAACTTTCTCCTGGTGTTGAATTCTGAGAGGAATTTGCCATATGGCTACCTGGAATTTATATATGTATATATATATAGCGAGAGAGAGAGAGAGAGAGAGAGAGAGGTTTGAACTATAATTTTGCAAATAACAGGGAAAGTTTAAATAGTTTTCATTACATCAGTTCTTTTGCAAAAGATTGGGAATAAAGTGACCTTGTTAAATTTTTTCTTTTTCTTTTTTTTTGGAGACAGAGTCTCACCCTGTCACCCAGGCTGGAGTGCAATGGCACAATCTTGGCTCACTGCAACCTCCGCCTCCAGGGTTCAAACGGTTCTCCTGCCTCAGCCTCCCAAGTAGCTGGGATTACAGGTGCCTGCCACCATGCCAGCTAATTTTTGTATTGGTGGTTCACACCTGTAATCCCAGCACTTTGGGAGGCCGAGGCAGGCGGATCACGAGGTCAGGGTTCGAGACCAGCTTGGCCAAGACGGTGAAACCCCGTCTCTATTAAAAATAATTTGTTTCTATAGGAGCTTTATCAGCCAGAGCTTCACCAGAGAGACCAGACCAGCAGGATGCTTATATCAAATATACATACACATACACACATATATGCATATATATGTGTATATCCCTACATATATATACATGCAGGCACACATTGTATCTATATATCTGTGTATACACAGATATATGGAGAGATTTACTGGAAGGAAGTGGCTTACACGGTTTCAGGGCTGGGTAGGCACCTCCTAAATCCACAGAGTGGCCATCAGGAAGGGCAGGCTGGAACTCTTGAGCACAGCCTGACGCTGCTGTCCACAGGTGAAATCTCTTCTTCCTCAGGGAAGGCTCAGTTATGCTCTTAGGCCTTTCCACAGATTGAATCAGCCCCCTTCAGGTTATCTAGGATAATCTCTCTTACTTAAAATAAACTGATTATAGATCCTAGTCACATCTACAAGAAAGCTTCACAGAAACACCAAGATTAGTGTCTGCTTGAGTAACTGAGGACCATAGCCTAGCCAAGTTAATACATAAACTCTCGTCACAGGGACTATAATACAGTCCATGTGTTTGATTGCCTTCTAACCAAATCTATAAGGGAATAGACTTTAGAGAGCCAATGAAATAAGTATGTATTATTTTATGATTGTTTAAAGACATTTAAAATTTCTCGAAAAAAAAAAACAACTCTACGGAAATGGATCACATTTGTTAGATCCACCACAAGAGAAGACAATCCTGAAAATGTATACGGTATAAACAGGACTCCATGTTTCCTGGTATACTAACTTCCATTCGGTTAATGTTGACTCATAAGGTTTGGAGAGGTATTATGCAGCTTAAGGGAGCCTCAGCAAATGTAAGACCATTTTTAAGTAATAGCAAATCCCTGGGTAAATTTCAGCCTTCTACATGGTTGGTTAAAGAAGGATCCAGGCGCCCCAGATATGAGACATGCAGCTCAGCAGAATGGATGTGAAAATGTTGGAGCTAGGTCTGCTTTCTTCCCCGGCAAGCTTTTTCTCTAGAAACAGCTATGCCATGGGAAGTGTTTGCAAACTGGCCCGAACACTGTCTTAAGAAGGAGTTTTGTATCTGCCTAACCCAGAGTTCCCCAGAATTCTGTTCCCCATGCCCTTAGCGGTTCAGTACATTTTTCACGGTATTTCTAGGCCAAAAGAAATGCCTAACAGTTGTGGTTATGAAAGGTTTTGTACCACGTAGCATAGTAAGAATTAATGTCATAACGACTTAATAGTTATCTGAAATGATAATTCACACAAATGGAAGGAAAAATTAGCTTTATTTTATTCTTAAAAATAATCACGTCTTGGCCAGGCACGGTGGCTCATGCCTGTAATCCCAGCACTTTGGGAGGCCGAGGCGGGTGGATCACCTGAGGTCAGGAGTTCAAGACCAGCCTGACCAACATGGTGAAATCCCGTCTTTACTAAAAATACAAAAATTAGCCGGGCGTGGTGGCAGGCGCCTGTAGTCCCAGCTACTCAGGAGGCTGAGACGGGAGAATTGCTTGAACCCGGGAGGCGGAGGTTGCAGTGAGCCGAGATGGTGCCACTGCACTCCAGCCTGGGCAACAGAGCAAGACTCTGTCTCAATAAATAAATAAATAAATAAATCACATCTTTGTTCCAAATGGATGTTTACATGGTATTTGTTTTCTATTCTGGTAACTTCCAAAAGCCCACCTTTGCAAAGATACAATGTCACCAAAAGGAAAATAGCACAATCTACATTAACACTGGGAACTACCTTGAGTTAATAAATCACATAGTGTTCAATAGCCATGCTGTGTTTTACTTAAAATTCTAGAATATCCCAGGCACCCCTGTGAGTTTGTTACAGTACCGCAGGGCACTCTGGTGCGTAGTGTGAGAACTGAAGGTTGAGAGTCTTGAGTCCTGGATAATGTAATTGAAAACCCAAACATTTTCAAGATCAAATCAGACCTTCTACATTGCACATGAGACAGATTCATGTTACTTAATTGGGAAGGACCACTGCATGATAGATCTAAATTTAAATTATACTTTGAATAGAAGCAAATTAGCCAGTGCCTCCCTGTGAAGTCATCACCGGAATATTCCTGCAGCATTTGCTTGCCTTTTGCCATGCTAAAGTGGGGAGGCTTTCATTTGATATGCTCTTCCCTTTCTCTTATTTCTCAATAGTCCATTCTTTGTAGTACTGGTGTGAAAGGGAATTTAATGTCTTTGTGTCAGGAAAAGCCTATTTATTCTGACAAACTGATCAGCCTCCAGGGTGTTCCTCTACCATGAAACTGATTTTATATCTCATCCACGAGCTAATAAGATGTGAACGGTTTTCCCTTTCACACCAACAGATAAGATTTGCTTCTCTAGAAAGCAGTGGGCTGAGACCCCATTGCCAGTTCTCCATGATTGGGCCTCCCGTCCACATTTTTCCAACAAAGCATGTAAGAGCAGAGGAATGAGTGTGAGGCAGACCCAAGTATTAACAGATAAATGTTTTTAAAAATAGGAGAAAATCCTAGAACTCAACTCACTATTCAGTGAATTCGCTTTTAGTTCAGAGAAAATAAGATGTCAGAAGCTGAAACCAGGTAATGTTGGTGATTTGTGTAAGGACGTTCTGATGCACACACGCTGTCCCACCAACCTTTAAATAAAGTTTACATTTCACTAAATTTGAGTTCAGTCTCTCTGCTGTGAGAAGAAATAAGAATATAATATGCTAAAAGTGATGGCTTGAAGATCAATTGTGGCATATCTCTGAAGAGATTGTTTCCTTATAAAATGCTTTTCCTTTTTGTTTCTGATGTCCTGAGATTAAAATACTTTTCAGATGAACTTTTAAAACAAGAAATTGGACGTAGGAAAGGAGAAAACTCTGTTCACATGGTGAAGACAACATGAAGGAAAAATAGTGTTGAGTAAAAGCCATTCTTTTTTGAGGCAAGGAGGAATTATGGTATATTTTGGGATAGAGTTGGTTTTATATCCTGGTTTCTATTATTTTTGTTTTTCAATTCAAATCAGTCCTGTCTTAAGCAAAATTAGGCTAAATTCCTAACTTATACTATAAAATATTAGTTTGAGAACTTGTAAGTCTCTGTAAATTTTTGAATCTTCCAGACACTACTTTCAGCATATTATATTCTTATTTATTACTGTATCAGTTATTTATTGCTGTGTAAAAACCACCCTAAACTTTAATGATTTCAAATAACAACAGTCTACTTGGAATATGACCCAGTCACATAGCTGGCAAGTTGGTGCTGGCTGTCTACTAAAAGCTCAGACAGGGCTATTGTTGCGGCTGAGGCCGCAGCTCTTCTCCATGTGGGGCTCCCATGGGCTGTTGAGCTTCCTTACCATATGGCAGCTGGGCTTCAAGAGCAAGTGTCCCAACAGGAAATGGAAGCTTCTGGTTTCTTGAGGCCTGGGCCTAGAAAGTGGTACACCATCATTTCTACCATATTCTAGGAGTCAAGTACTCAACACATCTGGCTGTCAGCAGAAGAGACATAAAGCCCACCTCTCAAGGGAAAGAGGATACTGTCAGTTTGCCTCTATGCTCTAAGACCACCACCATCATCCACACACCATACTTGTGGATGGCACTCTCTCCTCTGCTGAAATGCCTTCTCTGAATACAGTTTCTGCTGTGGGAGATGTTGCCTACAACTTATTAAAGAAAGTTCCATTGAAAGAAACCAGTTTTCTGGTGAGGAAACTCCTTCCTATGAAATGGAGTAGGGGCAAAATAGTCCCTGTTGTTCTTATCTCCTTAAAGTTTAGAACACATTGTATGCTGTGATTGTAGCCACTCAGCATGTGCTATCTCACTACCTCTCCCAGGGGTCATATGAGAAAGCTATCGCTGTTATCCTAGCATTTCCAAGGTGGAAACCAAGGCACAGAAACCAAGGTGGCTTTCCCAAGGTGTTTCAGGTGGCAGGGGATGGGATGATGACTCCAGTCTGGTGTGTTCCACTGCTGATCCACAACTCAACCGTGACAGTAACTTCAGAGCATGGCTGGTGGCGATGAGAATGGGACGTGCTTTCAGGAGAGGTCCATGGATCCCAGACAGACAGCCCTAAACGAGCCTCTCTGGCATTCACTCTTCCAGCTTTCTTCTTTGTACGATGGCGGGTAGAGGGCATTGGTTCCTTGGGCGTCTTCAGTCCCATGGTGAATGCTGCTCATCATCTCTCAGTCCGTGTGTCTCTGTCCTAATCTCCTCATCTTGTAAGGACACCAGTCAGATTGAAGAAGGCCTCCCCTAACAACCTCATCTTCCCTTTACCACTTTAAAGGCCCTGTCTCCAAATACAGTTACTTTCTGAGGTCCTGCTTCCACCTATCCATTATGTGGGGGCACGGTTCAGCCCATAGCCACCCATTTCTTTTTCCATAATAGGCTTTTAATACGAAAGTAAGTCCACTGACATGGGCATATAAATCTTCTGTGAATGCAAACAAATATTGAATGTAAACAAATATTAAAGGGAATGTCTTGAATGAAGTTTTTTCCTTACATTCTAATACCAATTAAACTTTGCTGTGGGTATTTATTTGCATTACTGTGTGTATTAGTCTGTTCTCACACTGCTATAAGGACATACCCGAGACTGGATAATTTATAAAGGAAAGAGGTTCAATTGATTCACATTTGTGCAGGGCTGAGTAGGCCTCAGGAAATTCACAATCATGGTGGAAGGGGAAGCAAACACATCCTTCTTCACATGGTGGCAGGAAGGAGAAGAATGAGAGCTGAGCGAAGGGGGAAGCCCATTGTAAAACCGTCAGATCTCGTGAGAACTCACTCACTATCACAAGAATAGCATGGGAGAAATCATCCCCATGATTCAATTACCTCCCACCAGGTCTTTCCCATGACACATGGGGATTATGGGAACTACAATTCAAGATGAGATTTGGGTGGGGACACAGCCAAACCATATCACTGTGTCTTCCACTAGACTGGAAACATCTTGAGGGAAGGAAATGTGACCCATCATCTCTGTAGCCCTGCTATGGTGCTTGGAACACTCTTGAGTAAAGAGTGAACAATCCCATCAAAACATAACTTGATTTCTCTTTGCAAAAAAAGTATTTTTATACAGAAACTGTTGCACAAGCCAGAGGAATGAATATAATGAATTTGGAAAAGGAAAAATGTGTTATTGCCAAATGCAACCTAATGTCCCTAATTAATGGATGTGTGTTCTTTTGCAGTTTGCCTTCTGCCGGGAATGTAAAGAAGCGTACCATGAAGGGGAGTGCAGTGCCGTATTTGAAGCCTCAGGAACAACTACTCAGGTACAGAATGCCCTACTCATTCCTCCAAGCAGGGCTCCGGATACAGTGGGGGACTGGAGCCGTTTCCTGGAGGTCATGGAGAGTTCCATTCTAAAAAAGCAAGAAGCAGACTGGTAGCTGACAGCCATGGGAATGGGGCCGTGGCTTCTCCCAGAATGACTCCCCTCCTTGGGGCACAGTGTAGACTTCCCAGTGGCCACTTGGGGCATGTCCAAAATAGCTTTTCCCTGGGCAGATATGGAACAGGGACAAGGCATGTGAGCATTTTCAAAGGAGTCCTTAGAGGGGAAATAAAACAACTTAACAGTGTCTAAATCAGAGAAATCCATACTAAGTCTACTTCAATGTTTTTAATGCCCTAGTTTAGAATCTCTGGTGAAAATACCTCTGTGAGTGGCATGTACAGAAAGATGACATTATGTAAGGATATCATTGTCCTTTAGCAGCATCATGCCCTATGCTAACTGGTGTTTCAGTCCTCATTAAGTAAAGAATGTGTTGGCCGAGCCTCACTCTCTAAGGTGCTATCTCAGTCTTAGGAAAGTGCAAATGCATTTTATTTTATTTATTAATTAGGATCAACCAAACCTTCAGGGAAAAAGAGTAAAAACGTCATCACAGTAGATGAATTTGCTCATTATTTTTCTCCCAATGTAGATGTTAACAAGGGTTTAAACACCAAATCTTTGCAAATAAATCCTTTAGTCATTGTACTGATAGGAACCTAGTAAACAGACATAGAAATCCCAGAATATTTTGATTTTACAATAGAGAATGTTAAAGATCTGAATGCTCTAAAATCAGAGCATGAATAAGTGTATCCCTATATGGAATTCTGCAGATGAGTTTATCCAATATTAGCATAACTAAATAAATAGAACTGGTGAATTTGGGTCTTCTCGTCTGCTCCTAAATTGCCAGCCATGAGCATATGAGTGGATTTAGGACTGAGTTGCCATTTCCATAGCCCAGGCAGCAAATGCTCTTTCTGTTAATTTTATTTTAGCTCAGGGACATTCAAACGCGAGCTTACCAGGTACTGACAGCAAAAGCAATAATGGCCCAGAGACCCCTGCCTCAGGACCGCTGTAATGGAGGCGGGTATACCTGAGGCTCTGGGAAACGGAGTTAGTCTAGCAATTTACATCCATATGCTCTGAGACTGCAAACATGGCAGAGGCTTCCACAAAGTGATACTCTGGCATCTACAGTATTTATTTGGAAACAGTAGCTGTAAGGGAAAGAAGAGCATTGCTTAACCTAAAGCCATCCAGGCGCCTGACCCTCCCTCTAATCCCATTCATTCTTCAGTCAAGAGGAACCATCCAGCCTTGGTGTTAAAGATTAAGGTAGCCCAAATTAAATGTTTTTAAATTGTTAAAACCTTAATATTGGATTCAGAAAAATAGGAAAAAGAAAGTTAGAGATGACCTAAACCATAGATGTCCAGCATCGGGGGAACTGTGTCTGCAAATAGTGTCAATTAGCAGACATTAAGTTGAGCATTTGGGTGGGTCAAGCAGCTGCTAGACTCTCTAGAAAAATGCATTGAAAAGTATATTTCCCGGCCGGGCGAGGTGGCTTATGCCTGTAATCCCAGCACTTTGGGAGGCCGAGGTGGGCGGATCATGAGGTCAAGAGATTGAGATCAGCCTGGCCAACATGGTGAAACCCCGTCTCTACTAAAAATACAAAAATTAGCTGGGTGTGGTGGCGTGCACCTGTAATCCCAGCTATTCAGGAGGCTGAGGCAGGAGAATCGCTTGAACCCGGGAGGTGGAGGTTGCAGTGAGCTGAGATCGCACCACTGCACTCCAGCCTGGTGACAGAGTGAGACTCCATCCCCACCCCCTCAAAAAAAGAAAAGAAAAGTGTATTTCCCTTTAGAGGCTCATAGGGGAGCCATGGGGGGAGATTTACTGGAAAATGAATATCGTAATTACAGTAATATGCTAAACCAAAGCTTAGCAACTCTATAGCTTTATATAAAACACTTCCAGGTTTCCCTGGAAAAGTCACAGAAGATGGGTCAGAGTTGGTCAGGACAGCAGGATGGTGTGGTAAAGGACATTCCAGCAGAGGGTGCCACATGGGCAAAGTTGCAGAAGCCAGAACCTCTTCAACCAGACTGTGTCCTCTGTTCCCCTGTGTCTCCAGGCCCAAGATGACATCTGCTGCACAGACATTTAATAGATGGTTTGTTGAGTGATGGCAGCATCTATAAAGAAAGAGACATTATTTCATTTTTTTTGAACCAGGGTCTCACTGTGTTGCCCAGGCTGGGGTGCAGTGGTATGATCTTGGCTCACTGCAGACTCCTTATCCTTGGCTCAGGCAACCCTGCCACCTCAGCCTCCCAAGTAACTGGAACTGCAGGCACATGCCACCACACCAGGCTACTTTTTGTATTTTTTGTAGAGACAGGGTTTCAGCATGTTGCCCAGGCTGGGGTCTTGAACTCCTGAGCTCAAGCAAGCCTCCCAAAGTACTGAGATGACAGGCGTGAGCCACTGCGCCCCATGAGACATTATTTCATTCATTCAACAAATATGCATTAAACACCCGTAATATGTTAGGCATGGTTCTAGGCCCTCGGGACAAAGAGTAAGACAACGTCCCTGCTCCCATGGAGTTTCTACGGCTTCAATAGATGCCACAGAGGTTGCACAAGCAACTGACATGATAGGAATTCTGAGGAGGTATAGTTAATCCACATCAGGGTCATCCCAGAAAGAACTCAGGATGAAGCAGCCCTGCAGTTAGACCCCCCCAGGAGATGAGGCTCTTCCTGCTTCTGGTTCCTGATCACAGGGCCAGCCTCCAATTCCTCTTATTTGAAAACAAAGCAAACCAACCAGCCAAACTAAAAAGATGTCTGCTGGTGAACAGTTGCCAGACAACGGAAAGCAACTAATTGGGGTCTTTGCTGCCATGTTTTCCTACGTCTCTGATTCGGTCAGGGTCCCTCGGGAGAGAGAAGCCAACCCAGATGGGCACAGGAGGAGATGTTAATGAAAGGGATGACCTGCAGAGGCGGGCTGGGGACACAGGAACCATCACAGGGCTGAGGGCCTCAGAGCGAGCATCACTGGGGAGCCATGACCACCCCAGGCCTGTAAAGGCAGGGGGAGGAAGAGTCCCATGAACCCCATGAGCTGCAGCCATGGAGAAGGGGCCTCATGACAGGAGGTGTCATCACGGAGCATCCAGCGTTGCCTGGAAGTAGCCCCACACAGGAAGGGAGTGAGCATGGACATCTTGCCTCCTGCCTCCTGCCATCCGATCTCTTGCTAATGTCTCCCATGGGCCATACCCCACCGAAGCCAGACACAAGGGATCCTAGGGGCACAGCCCATGGGAGCCAGCCTTCCAGATGCAAAGCAGAGAGGGGAAAGAATACAGAATTACCAGCACCTTCTCTATGAGCGAATTTACCAATCTTCCCAAGTTTCCTTATTTCAACCATAGCTGCTTTTGGATGTGGGAAGGCACGAACCAAACAAGCTATTTCTTCAAATTTCATGACCCAATTCGATTTGATAACAGAATGAAGGGCTTTTATTTTCATAGAGCTGGCTTATTTTCTGTTCCCTACATTTCTCTCAAGCAGCATGGTCTCCAGGAGGATGACCTCTGCAGTTTCATTGACCTGAAATCTTTGAAAGGATGACACTCTACACATCTCACAATGAAAGCCCAATTGCAGCCTCCCTTGGAACCGAAGGCTTTAGATGTGTTCTCACATCTGAATTTTGCTAATAATAACTAAATACCCTCATCAGCCCTCTTCACACTTTCTTTCAATTCCATTCAGTTGCAGGGTTCTTTGCTTTGAGCCATTTGTGACTCGTTTCTGCTGTTCTTCCCTTTAGCATTGATTGGTTTCTGTTCTTGCACATTACATGCTCCAGCCAGGAGAGCCCATTTCTCTTGAGTCCCAATCAGCTTTTCCTATCAGTTAGACTGTTGGACCTAAAACTTAATGTATTTTTTGATTAATGCAATAATTCTTTAAAGCAAACTCAAAAATTGGCTTTAAATTGGTTTTAAAATATTGAACAAGCTTTACGTTGAAACTGCTGGGAGTTTGGGAAAGCAGTGACAGAAGATCAATCCATCACAGACTAACGAGAGTCCAGTCCCGTTTGCTTTCCTTGTTTTTCCCTGCTTGTTCTCCTCCCCGTGTTCCAGTTCCTTCCGCGTATTGCCCCTGGAGGCTTGCTAATAACTACACACTTGCTCTTGCAAAAGCCACATAAACTGGTTCTAGGTAGTTGATGTTCCTCTCCCTATTCAGCAGGAGTGCAGACTGAGACTTCCAGATTTTTAGTGGTGCTCTCTAAAGCCGCAGAAGAGATCAATTTCAGTGGCTATACTTTACCTAAGTAGTTGGGGATCAGCAACTGCTCTCTCTAATAGATCTACAGTGTCTGAGGGGAATGTGCCCATGCCTGCCTACCAACCATGCCTCCTGCTCAACATTCTAGGCCCAGATCATGTTACCTCCTCCCAGAAGCCATCTGCCCTCCCCACTACATCCTGTAAGCTTTCAGACAACTGTACATTCTGATACATTCGTCACTTGAAATATCGTTTCTCTGTATCTTCACAAAAAGTCTGGGCTTTGTTTTGTTTGTTTGTTTGTTTGTTTTTGTTTTGATTTTTTTTTTTTTTTTTTTTTTGAGATGGAGTCTCGCTCTTTCACCCAGGCCGGACTACAATGGCGCTATCTTGGCTCACTGCAAGCTCTGCCTCCCGGGTTCACGCCATTCTCCTGCCCCAGCCTTCCAAGTAGCTGAAACTACAGGCACCTGCTACTGCACCCGGCTAATTTTTTGTATTTTTGGTAGAGACGGGGTTTCACTGTGTTAGCCAGGATGGTCTCAATCTCCTGACCTCGTGATCCACCCGCCTTGGCCTCCCGAAGTGCTGGGATTACAGGCATGAGCCACTGCGCCCGGCCTAAAAAGTCTGGGCTTTGTTAGTGGAGGGTTTGTGCCTGTCGCATCCTGTATCCTGCAGTGCCTGGCACAGAGTAGGTGCTCATTAAGTGTTTGTTGAATGAATGACAAATCCCTCCTTCATCCACACACCTCCCTCCCTACCATGAAGCTGGGTAAGTACAGGAAAAGAATAGACAGTAGCTTCAGGGCTGGATTATGTCTCAGTAATCTTTTGAATCATAAAAGAAAATTAGATTTCCACAGTAAACCTCAGTTCCTTCCATCTGCCTCCTAAATTAGAAAAATAAACCCACCATTTGCTTGGGATAAATATAATAATTTGCTTGGGATATGCACTTGTATCGTGCTTGATTACAAAGCACTTTCACGTACACCATCTTATTCTGAGGCTTATCTCAAGTTTTTGTGATAGATTTTGTCCATAGGCAAGGGAGAGGGAGGGAGAGTGGCCACCCAGGGGCATAGAGTTGACAAGCCCCAGACCATTATTTTACCCAGGTCTTTGGGAGCTGCACCAGCCAGCACTGATGACCACTCCAGTCCCAGTGAAGCAGAAATGCGCTTCCATTGTTCTTACTGGTCACTCTGCCTTTTGAAAGAGGGGGATGAGTGGGCTGTTGTTGGCTTGTCAAACACAATACCAGGGATGGCCAACTCAAATGCCAACAGCAACACAACCCTTAAATGAGTGAGGCAGAGTTGAAGCCTGCTTCATGGACCTGTCAATATTTTGATAAGGATGCAAAGATAAATTTCATTTTCTTCTGCTTTTCCTATTAAAACAAACAGAACAACAAAAACACATCAACACAAAAGCCTGCAAGCATAATGACACATAGCCCCATGCTGGGGCGGGTGGGGGTGGTCTGTGGCAAACTGGAGTGGGCATGGCTTGTTGTGGGGTGTTGGGGAGACACCTGCTACACAGCTCCCCAGTTCAGGTCCATGTTTACCCAGCAGAAATGTGAGCCCAATGGTACCAGGCCTTCCAGTGTGATTTTGTGATGTCAGTAGCATAAAATCCATGCGTTTTTGTTAAATATCTTTATTTTTAAATGTTGAGAATTAACATTTTTTTAAATCTTAAACACATCTATAAGTGGAATTTTGGCTGCAACGTTGTGTTACACTTCCTACATTATGTGCCTTTGAACCTCATTTCAACTGTGAATTTCTTATAATTAGTGGAAAGAAGGAAGAAGAAGGATGCTCAGTACACATTTATAAAGCACCTTTTATTACCACGCATAGTACTAGGCATTTTGGATACAACATTAAAGATAGACTTGGTGGGAGGCTGAGGCAGGAAAATCGCTTAAAGCTGGGAGGTGGAGGTTGCCACTGCACTCCAGCCCAGGCAACAGTGCAAGACTCTGTCTCCAAAAAAAAAAAAAAAAAAAAAAGATAGACTTGGACTTTGGACTTGGCCACTGTTCTCATAGGGTTTGTAATCTAGTGAAGTAGAAAAACAGTTTGACAAATAATTAAAATGTTGTATGCTAAGAGGCACGAGAGAGTGTTCAGGATGCTTTGGAAGCATAAAAGTGGGACCTGGCCAGTTCTCCACGGGGTTGGAGGAATTGTTCATTGAAAGAAGTGAAATTTGAGACCTACAGGGATGAGCTCTTCAGGCAGGGAAGGAACTTATGGGTGTCCTAAGCAAAGGGACAGGGTGTGTAAAGTTCTGGAGATGAGCATGAATGACACGTTCAGGGAGGTGGAAGACACTCCCTTGACTGTGCCATAAAGTGATGGTGGCTGTGGCCACAGACTAGGCTGGAGACGGAGCCAGGAAATGAAGGGCCTTATCAGCCACAGGCAGGAGCTTGGGATTTAGGGCAGTGAGAAGGCATCTGGAGATTTTTTAAAGATTGACGTCATCAGATGGGTGCTTTCGAAAGATCTCTGGCTGTAATATGAAAAACACTTAGTAGGGAATTGTAATAGTACATGTTTTCCAGGAAGAAAACCCTGAGCTGCTTGAGATTCGAGTGCAGACTGTGTACTGGAGGATGCTGTGGGGAATCGCATGAAGCAGTTTGAAGGAAGGCTGAACTGCCGTGCAGTTGCCACAGCAGGTCCTAGAAGGAGCTCTGGAGCTGGATGAGCCTTCTGAGTTGTTGTGCATGGACACAGAGTGGTCAGGCCTTACATCCCTATGCATAGACCAGGTTTTCGATGTGGGCTTCCCGCAGAAGGAAGAAAGGCTTTGGGTGAAGCAGCTTTCTTCAGCTGGGGGCACTTCCCGGGTAGAGACTTGGCAGAGAGCTGTCTGCTGCGGACATACCCAGCAGCAGGGATATCAGTCCTGGAGGAGGGGTCTGGCCAGCCTCACAGCATCTGCTGTCGTCTGCCCCTTGCACTGCCTGGAGACATTTGCTTGTGGAATGAGAGAGACTGGAGAAATGTACAAATGGAAGGTTAGCAGGGTAAACTATATGTAGCTCATGCTGCCACAGCTGGTCTTGAAGTTGCAGCTGACTCCCATTGACTTCCTTCTCTCCTACTCATTCTAGATTCCCCTCGCCCTTAGAGAAGACCTCTAGGTGGCTTACCTGGTGGGGTGACACAGACATCATCCCTGATGGGTCCAGGCTCCTGGGTGCCATTCTAAAGCCATGACTACTGAATGATTTGCTATCAACATTGGGCAGGGGAGGACCAAGAGATGCCACAGTGAACCACCTGGGTGCCAAATGCATTCTTCCCATTTAAATACCCCATTCTATAACTGCAGCCCTGCCTGCTCCTGAGAGTCAGTTACCCCTTCCAGGATGGCAACTCCCTTTCTAGCCTGCTAATCCCTTGGCAATGCAACATAAAGTGACCAGAACTCTTGCTGTGTTCTCTGGCAAAAGTACTCTCTTGCTGGAAGCCAGGGCCCCTATATATGCAAGGCCAGGTTGCACAGATGGAGAGCATAAACTCCAAGTGGACCACTGGGAGTGAGAAGTGGGGCCGTCCCTACTTCCACCCCTTGATTCCTGAACCATTGCGTTCTACCTGCTGGAGACACACCCTGCACCATGGTAGTTGTTGATTCAGAGTGTAAATCTCACCTTAGAGGATAGCGCCCACATCACAGTGCAGCTCCAGCGGCATCGTGCAAGCCTGGTCCATCCGTCTCATCAGGTCAACAGCTTCTGGGCAGTAGGATGTGTGACAGGACCAGTGTTCCCATGGGTATGCACCCACTGGGACACAATGCAGTGCCATGCAGGGTGCCGGCAGCCTGCAGATGCTAGTGCTGGCTGAGGCTCTGTTGCCAAGAAAGGCAAACCCACACCCAGAAAAGGAGTCACTTCCTGTCAAGATGGAGTGTCTTCATCTTCCCTGGTGTCACTGTGATCCACCTGACACCCACTGGCCAGTTAGTTGGTCTCCTCGAGGAGTGGAGGACACACAGGACTCCGTGCCGCTCTTTGTTGCCGGCAGGTTGAATGTTGGCGGTGTGGCAGATGGGGGGATGCCCGAGCTGGGGGGCCTGGCAGGGCTTCACCTCACCACCACGCTTCCTCCACACGGGAGTGCCCTGGCCCAGGACTGCTGTGGCCAGTGGCGGAGGCTGGCAGTGGTCCACTGGCCGGATCCCTCCATCTGCTTGTTGAAGTGCTCTCCTGTGAGCTCTGCCATGCTGTGCAAACATGCGGACATGTCCTGCCCCTCCCATGGGTCTGTCCACGTGCCTGCTCTGCAGAGCTCCTTGTCTTACCTGTCCTCAGTCTTCCAGATTTTCTCTGTCCCTGCCCTTAAAGAGGCTGCCAAGACGTTTGCCACTGCTTAGGAGCTTGTATCTCTTCCTAACTCAGGACTCTTTCCTTTCCACACACAGTCCACTGTCAGCTGCTGCCTCATCTGTTTGGGCTGCTGTCACTCAATACCGTAGACTGGCTGGCTTATAAACAACACACATTTATTCCTTCCAGTTCTGGAGGCTCAGAAGTCAAAGATGAATGCACTAGCAGATTTGGGGTCTCATGAGGGACCACTTTTTGGTTTGTAGATGACGTCTTCTAGCTATACCCTCACATGGTAGAAGGGGCAAGACAGCTCTCTGGGGCCTCACAGGATGAGAGGTGACTGGTTAATGCCCTCTCTTTATAAGGGCACTAATCCCATTCCCGAGGGCTCTGACTTATGACCCAATCACCTTGCAAAGGCCTCACCTCCTAATCCCACCGCCTTGGTGATTAGGTTTCGACATAGGAATCTGGGGAGACACAAACACTCGGACCATAGCAGTTGCGTTGCCCAAGGCTCTGCTTATTGACAGGGTCTCCCCTCACCACTCTTTCAACCCTAAAGAGGATTACAGGATAGCGACAGTGCATTTTTGGCTTGCAGCCGTATGTTAAGCTAACTCAATTGTGAACCAAGCTTGGATCCCTCAGTGTGTCATAAGGAATCTCCCCAGCCCGGCCACTACCACCGTGGGGCCATGGTTGTGAGCCCAAGGAGAGGCAGTCATGCCACGGTGTGGATGGCACGGGGGTCTGAGGACCTGCTTGTGCAGCTCGCTCACGCCCCGTGGGCCTGCTTGGGCCTGGGCCTAGATGCCCCACTTCTGTCTTATGACAATTGCTGCACAGATGCTCCAACTCCACAGGGCTCGGTAGCGTGCCAGGGGCTCTCTTTCAAATGGTCCATCGTTCTCAGCTGCTGAACCCCCAAAATCTTTGCTGGGATGCTCTTATTGGCCCGCAGGTAGCCCCACGTGACCTCTTTTCCCTCCACAGACACCTGGAATCCACAGGGTCTGCCTGCGTGCACAGCCGCAGAGACAGGGCGCTTGCATGCCGCCTGACCCTGCCCTTTGCTCCTCGGGGCCCCACTCAGAGCTTCCAGCACTTTCTTCCAACAGTGACAGGCTCCTCTTTGGCCACTGGCGGGAGGGATTCCAGCTCTAACTCCATTTTAGAGTTTGCTTCCTAGGACTATCCAGGCACCAAGTGCCACAGGTTATAGGTTCCCAGGAGAACAGGCTCTGAGACTTGCAGGCAGGGAGTGTCTTGGGGTGCTCTCAACAGCACCTTCAGGAAGAGAAGGAAGCAGGGTTGGGCAGAGGTGGAGTCCCACTGCAGTGCGGTTGCCACAGAAGACTGAGGGGAGCCAGAGGTAGGAGGCTAGAGGTGAGCCCTTCGCATCCACCCTCCACCACTGGGCGTGAGCTGCCCTATCGCCGTGATGTGACGGTGTGACCTCAGTCCCAAGGTGGTGGGACTGGGAGCAGAGCAGAGCACCCCCTAAAAGGGCCAAACCAGAGACACACCAGGCACCAGGAATCCGGCCAGGGAATACAGAGGAGGGGATGGGCTTGAGGTCGGATCTGCAGAACTTGGCAGTGGATTAGAAGACAGGATGAGAGGAGACGGGTTAATGTTGATGCATGAATGTCTAGCTTAGAACGATGGTGGTGCCATTGGCTGGAAGAGGAGACAGAAACAAAAGCAGGTTGTTCGGGGAGACACACATTCATTGTGGACATCTCAGCTAGGGGTTCAGTGGGGAAAGGAGTGGATGCCTAGACCACCTCAGAGGAGAATCCAGGCTGGAGCCAGCGATCAAGATGCAAGACTGACAATCTCCAACGAACTGCCCCTTATCCATGCTCCCCACACCCACACCCACCCCTTCAGAGTTACAGTCCAGGAGAGGCTAGGAGGTGCACCTCCCTCAGTGGAGGACACTGAAGCAGCAGTGGCTCCAGGGAGCTGAGATCTTTTTTGATCTATTTTGCCCCAGCATCTCACCGCAGAGCCGTCTCTCAGCCATTGACTGCCTTCACACACAAATGCAGTCCCAGTATTGGGAGATGGGTGTAATTTATTATTCCCGGAGATCTAGATCCCCGGTTATTTGGGAGTGTATTTTCTGAACTGCTTGTTGGTTTAAGTAAAGCAGGTTTGATGCCACTTCTCTTGAATCCATGACCCTGGACCCGCCGCCTAAGTGGATGTGCAGATGGGATGGAACGGCTGCGACAGATCTCCATTAAAGCCAGCGCGTCGTTCGGGCTCGGCCTTGCGCTGTGAAAAGCTGAGTCAGTGCCAGGACAGCACCCGCCCCTCTGCAGTGCGTTTCCAAGGCACTCAGCTTGTGTGCGAAGGTTTGCTCTGGGGCAGCAGAAATGGCCCTTGGCAGGTCGTCAAAGGCCCGGTTTCATTTCCTCCTCTTCCAGGCAAGTTGCTCAAAGGCTCACAGCCTTTTCGTCGCCTGCCACACAGAGCCAGTAAGATCTACCAAGCTATAAATAATGAAATGAGTGTGTGTTTCGCCGTTTGTAAGTTGCAAAGTATTACAAAATGGTGAAACTTGGGGGTTTGGGTTTTTAAGGCTGAATGCTAAAACTGTCAGGCACTGTGGAGAGAGGAAAGGAAAGATAAGATTGACTGGGATTGAAAGACAAGTGAAGGCATGCTTGCGTGGGTACACACACAGTGACACCACACGCCTGCCCCTGGAGGCCGATCCTGACCATGCAGACCTGGGGCTGGGGCTCTCCAAGCGCTCTCCTGCACTGCAGAAACCCTTCTTCTCTTCTGGACTGTCACTCCAGCACGGCAGAGCACCAAGGCTCTGCAACGCACTTCCCTGGGGTGCAGCTTCCGGCCAGGGGCGTCCTCCCTCTGCAGGAGCCTCAGCACCCCCGGGGGGTTCCCTCCACCCCCAGGAGTTCTGCCTTGAGGGGCATGGCCTGCGGGTCCCCTGAGCTCGCTCACCTGTGGGGGTCACGGCCTGCGGGTCCCCTGAGCTCACTCACCTGTAGGGGTCACAGCCTGCGGGTCCCCTGAGTCTTCCTCTGCACGGCCACAGTGCAGCCTCCACCAGATGCCTGCCTGGCCTGACACATGGGACCCTCCTCTGAAAATGATGCTGTCCTGAAGGCTTTTGGATTCCAGAGGGGTTTCAGGATCCCAGCAGAGTTGGTAAAAAAGGTCTGAATGTAAATTCTGAACCGACTTTGCAAGTCTATACCCTGTATACCCTGTGTACTAGACTCCATAAACAAGCAGCTAGAACAAGTTCGCAATGTGGAAAATATTTTTATAGAAACTTATTGTCACAGCTACACACCACACACACACACACACCACACATATGTCACACATGCCACACACATAAACATAACGCACACATCACACATACACACCACACATATATAACACACATCACACATACACACACACCACACATACATCACACATGCCACACACATACACACATACACACACCACACACATGCACCACACACCCATTACACACACCACACACACATCACACACCACACACATGCACCACACACCCATTACACACACCACACATACATCACACACACCACACACACCACACACCCATCACACACACCACCCATATGCACCACACACCCATCACACACACCACACATATGCACCACACACACATAAACATACACACCACATCCACATACACCACACATACACAACACACACGGCGCACACATATACATAACATGCACACCATGCGTTACACACACAACACACGCGCACCACATATACCACACACACATACATACACACCACACACACTGCACATACAGCATACGCATATACACAACACACATACACACAGAACACACACCACACACAGATACATAACACTGCACACACTCGCCACTCACATACACACCGCATACCCCACGGGCATTTGGAGCTCCTCAAAGGAAAGCGCCCCTGGCAATTCTCTGCACACCCCACTCAGTATCAGGAGGGAAGCAGCTGCAGTGCGCCTCTGATGCACCAGATGGCGCTAAACCCTTAAGGAAAATGCTGGATTTGTCCAGAAACAAAAATAAAATGACCTGGGGGAAAAGGGAGTGAACGCCACTTTGAAAGGCACCCCAGCCACGCCTGCATAGTGGCCCAGCCGACAACAGGCAAGAGGGAATCGAAGGACTGTGTCCCCAGGAGGAGCATTTCTGAGAGGTGTGCAGATTTGAAAAGCTAACAGCTGGATCCTGGCCCCCATAATTCCTTCATTAAAAACGGGGCTGGCAGGGGGGACAAAATATTGTCACTCCACAGAAAAGCATGTTGACCATGTGTGAGGAAAACGGTTCACCTGCTCTACACTTGTTCCTTGCAAGCACAGAGGCATAGCCCGTTTAAACTCAGCACCCCGCAAGCACAGAGGTGTAGCCCATTTAACTCATCACCCCTGCAAGCACAGAGGCATGGCCATTTAACTCATCACCCCTGCAAAGCACAGAGGTATAGCACATTTAAACTCAGCACCCCTGCAAACACAGAGGCATAGCTCGTTTAAACTCAGCACCCCTGTAAGCACAGAGGCATAGCCCATTTAGGCTCAGCACTGCTGTTCTCCAGGGTTGCATTTACCTTCTTTCAGCAAGGACTAGGTGTTCCCACCCGTGTCTGAGGAATCCAAGACAAGCAGAGGGGGCTTGAAGTCAAACAGATCTAGTCTTAAACATGAGTTTCAGCCTAGCTGTGATGGGTAATTTTCTGTGTCAATGTAGCTGGGCCACACAGCCCAGTTGTTGGAACCAGCAGTAGTCAAGGTGTCGCTGTGAAGGTATTTTTGTAGACGTGGTTAACATCTATACTCAGTTAACTTTGAGGTCAAGGAGATGACCCTCTATAATGTGGGTGGGCCTCACCCAGTCCATGGAAGGCCTGACGAGCAAAGACCTCGGTTTCCCAGAGAAGAGAAAAATTCTGCCCTACCGAGTGTGGTGGTTCACACCGGCAGCCCCACACTTTGGGAGGCCAGGGTGGGAGGATCACTTGAAGCTAAGAATTCGAAACCAGCCTGGGCAACAAAGTGAGACCCCATCTCTACAAAAAATATTTTTTAAAGATCAGCAGAGGACAGAAGCATGTGCCTGTAGTCCCAGCTACTCGAGAGCCCAGGATTTCCAGGCTAGAGTGAGCTATGATCTTGCCACAGCACTCCAGCCTGGGCAACAGAGTGAGACCCTGTCTCAAAAAAAAAAAAAAAAAAAAAATAGGGTCTCTCTGTCTTTGTTGACCACAGTGTATGTAGACCTTCTGCGAGCAGTAGTTCTCCGAAGCTCTGCAGGCTAGCGACATCGGCATCACCTAGGAATTTGTTGAACTGCCAGTCCTTGAGCGCAATCCCAGACCTATGGATTCAGACCCAGAGGGGTAGTGGGGGAGCCACAGCACAAGCGCTTCCGGTGCCGCTGGTCTGAGAGCCGCCGTTCTGCTAATGGGGAAGCTCCACAAGGCAGGGATTGTTGGCTTGCTATTTGTCATCTCTCTTGTTTACTGGGATGTATCCCCAGGGTCCAGGACAGTGCCTGGCACATCTTAGACACCCAACACATGTTTCTTGAATGAAAATATTTCTGCATTCACTCTAGCAAAAATAATAGTCTACTTTGTGCCAGAATAACTATACTTTGCACAAAAGGTAGGCTCTGTGGTCGGCTTTGACCCCTCTCACATCCTATTAGTGATGATTCCGCATTCAGAATCCCATCTATGTGGATAATTTTGGTCACTGCTGACCTAAGCCAACCAAAAACTAGAGAATGTCATTATCAAAAATACAAATCAGCATATTTTCTAGCTCAAGTGTAGATTTTTCCCATATGTCAACTTGTAACAATAGTTGAACACAAAGCACTTTTAAAATAACCAATAAATGGTACCTATTAATAATTCTGCTACTTAATATTTATGTTGTTCCATTTCCCCCATTAATCTCAAAATAGGTTGATAGATATTATTTTAATTCACTTCCCCTTTAGGAAGCATTTAGGGCCCCATGGGGCAAGACTCTGTAAGATCTCGTCTGTGGCACTTGGCACACATTCCACTCCTAGCAGAAATCACCACTGTTAGAATCATTGTCAAAAATGCCCTTCTGGGCCAGGCATGGTGGCTCATGCCTGTAATCCCAGCACTTTGGGAGGCCGAGGCAGGCAGATCACCTGAGGTCAAGAATTCGAGATCAGCCTGGCCAAAGTGATGAAATCCCATCTCTACTAAAAATACAAAAATTAGCGAGGTGGGGTGGTGCATGCCTGTAATCCCAGCTACTCAGGAGGCTGAGGCATGAGAATCGCTTGAACCCAGGAGGTGGAGGTTGTAGTGAGCCGAGATTGTGTCATTGCACTCCAGCCTAGGTGACAGAGCAAAACTCCGTCTCAAAAATAGATAAATAAATAAAAACAAATGCCCTTCTGAATTGCATTCTAAAGCATGGCTTGGGGAGTTTGGAGCTTAGTGGAGTAGCCTTGTATTGCTTACAGTGTAGCCTTGTATTCCCCGGAGCCCTTGGCTAGACACCCCATTAAATCCCAACACTCTGATGATTTCTCTTAAAAAAAATAACAAAATAGGCCGGGCGCAGTGGCTCACACCTGTAATCCAAGCACTTTGGGAGACGGAGGCGGGCAGATCACCTGAGGTCAGGAGTTCAAAACTAGCCTGGCCAACATGGTGAAACTCCGTCTCCTCCCTCAGCCTCCCAAGTAGCCGGGTGTGGTAGCAGGCACCTGTAACCCCAGCTACTTGAGAGGCCGAGGCAGCAGAATCATTTGAACCCAGGAGGTGGAGGTTGCAGTGAGCGGAGATTTCACCATTGCACTCCAGCCTGGGCAACAGGAGCGAAACAACGTCTCAAAAAAAAAAATAACAAAATACATTTAAATATATACATATATACATATTCTCCAAAAAGAGATAGTCATAAGACAATGTGAGAACAACAAAACATGTTTTGGTGACACCCGTTGCCAAGCAGTAACGTTGACTAGCTCAAGGCCCCTGAAAAGTGATGCCATTTTCTTACTCACCAGCAGGAGGCGGGCTGCTCACACGCAGCAGTGCTCAACTGGCCCACCTGCTTGACTGAGCCAGGAAGGCTGCTGTCTGCAAAGGTGGAAGGTTTCAGTGTTTGTGAGAAGAGAGGCGAGCGTTGATGAGAAAGCTGACATTTAAAAGCTGTCATTCACCTGAAAGCATTCATAGCTGAATTAAGCCAACTCTGTTTTCATGATTAATGACAACTGCTCTTTTTTGGAAAACAGGCTTAAATGGATTTTTAGGATTAGAATAGACTTGTCTAATTATTGGCTACACAGGTGTCACAAATGAGTTTCTCTTAAAGCAGGAAAGATAACACATATGCAGTTCCTTAAGTTATTCTAGCTTCAATGTATATCAATGTGTCTCCTAGGCGCTAATTCGGCTTTTTTTTTTTTTTTTTTTTGACACAGAGTCTTGCTCTGTCGCCCAGGCTGGAGTGCAGTGGCGCGATCTCGGCTCACTGCAAGCTCTGCCTCCCAGGTTCACGTCATTCTCCCATCTCAGCCTCCCAAGTAGGTGGGACTACAGGTGCCTGCCACCACGCCCGGCTAATTTTTTTTTTTTTTTTTTGTATTTTGAGTAGAGATGGGGTTTCATCGTGTTAGCCAGGATGGTTTGATCTGACCTCGTGATCCACCCGCCTCGGCCTCCCAAAGTGCTGGGATTACAGGTGTGAGCCACCGTGCCCAGCCTAATTCAGCTTTTAAAACCTATATAAGTACATTTTGATTTACCAGTGGAGTTTTGTGTGTGTGTGTGTGTTTATAGAGACAGGGTCTCATTATATTGACCAGTCTGGCCTTGAACTCCTAGACTCAAGTGTTCCTCCTGCCTCGGCCTCCCATACTTGTGTTTTTAAAGGAGATTTAAGGCCAATCCAGGCCTTCAGTGGTCTTTTCCATGTGTACAAACTCCCACAGGGTCATATTCCCATCTCTTTAGAGATGATCGTGATGATTACAATAACAAAGTAATAATGGTGGTGATCATAGAAAACACACGGTTAGCATTCAGGGTGCACCTGGCTCTGTGCTAAGCCGTTTGTGTGTTGATCTTACTCACGATGACCCTTGTGAGGTTATTCCTCTTGAGCCACAGATGGACGATCATGCCTTTACCTTTCTGAGGGAATTTTGATTCTCTCTGTCTCTCTCTATATGTATATGAAATATATTTCCTATAATCATATGAAATATATATATGAAACATCTATATATAAGTATATTATAGATGTTTCATATATATATTTATGAAATCGCTATTTTCAGCCATGAAGTATATTAGGAGAGAGACTTGTCCTGTTCCACCCCCACCTCCACCACGCGTGCGTACACACATGCATGCATGCAATTCCTCCTGCCACGGGTGAGCAGTAGACAGGCACAGAATTCTATGCAATTACCTAACAGTTACACTGCCCCGTGAGAGCCACACTTTATTGCACAATCGGGCGGTGATGCTGAATCACAACAAAACCTTCCCCTCCTGGCAACACAATAAGCAGGCATTGCTTTAGAGCTTGATGACTAAGGCGGGAACAGAGGGTAAGTTACCCAGCTCACCATGTTCCTCTTCAGGCGCAAAGGGAGAATCGCCCTCCAGAGGATGAATGGTTCCCAAACCTCCCGCCCCTCGCAACCCCTTAGGGCATTTTTAGGGATTCTAATTTCTGTACCCCGCCACAGACCTACTGAATCCCAATCTCCAGAGTCTGGACACAAGCCTTGGGATCATTTTTAGAATCGCTTTGGTGATCTTGAACCTGTGGGCACCCAGCCACTGCTTGAGATCACTCCAGAAGGATTTAAACATCAGCATTAAGACACTCATGAAGGATGCAAAGCAAAGATGTGCTCCTCCTGGTAGAAATCCCCTCTCGGAAGTGGCAGTCAAAGGTCTAAACCAGTGGCCTGGGCACCGCCCACTCCCGGGGTGTCATAGAGCTGCTTCTCCTGCCCCCCAGGTCCCTGGGGCTGGCAGCAGTGGCAGCAGTCACTGGGTCTGGGACTCCCCTCCCTCCCCGTGGATCCGCTGGGTGAGGATAGGAAGCACAGGAAGAGCTGTGATGCTGAGAAGGGCAGGAACTCCAAGGGCCTTCTTGGTGACCCTTTCCCACATGTTAGGTGCAGTGGGACAGTTGGAGACAATGACAAAGAAAGGGCATGAGCTTTGGCAGCCGTGGCCTCCTGGTGTCCTTCTTGAAAGCACTTTCGGCAGGTTGGGGAAGGGAGAACCGGCCAGGCAGCAGCGATGGCCCAGGGCAGAAGGGCGGGTGGGCAGCTGGGAGTGGAGTTGCAGTGCTGGTGCCAGGGGAAGCAGGCAAGTGGAGGGCAGGTGAGCCACTGCAGTGAGGGGAGGGGGGCTGGGTGGCTTCTCCCACTGTCTTTACCACAAGCTGGGTGCTGGTGGTGGTGGTAGTTGCTTTCGTTGTTGTTGTTTTGAGACAGATTCTTGCCCTGTCGCCTAGTCTGGATTGCAGTGGCACCAGCTCGGCTCGGTGCAATCTCCACCTTCTGGATTCAAGTGATTCTCATGCCTCAACCTCCTGAGTAGCTGGGACTATATGTGTGCGCCACCAGGCCCAGCATATATATATATATATATATATATATCAAGACTGAGGTTGCTATATATATACACAAATATATATACAAATATATATACAAATATATATAAATATATATACAAATATATATAAATATATATAAATATATACATATATATAAATATTATATGTATTTTTAGTAGAGACAGGGTTTCACCATGTTTCGCAGGCTGGTCTTGAACTCCTGACCGTCGCACTGGCCTCCCAGAGTGCTGGGATTACAGGTGTGAGCCACTGCGCCTGGCCACAAGCTGTTTGAAAACTGTGCTCTCAAAAGTCCCCGGGGACTTCCAGATCTCCATGACAGCATCTTAGCCTTAGTCCCTTAGCCCTCTTTGTAGCATGTGACTTGATAATGACAGGAAGAAATCAAGGCTGCAGGGGCCTGGAGTATGAACCCAGGCAGCTCGGGGCTCCGATTCTGAACCGACTGCTCGCAGGCCAGGCGGCCTGGGTCTGAAGTTATTTAGTTTTCTGAGACTGATCTCTCCAGCTGAAATAGTTAATGACAAGCTCCGTCCTTCAGGGATGCGCAGTTACTACATTCTGTGATGTGGGCAGAGCCCCTGCCGCACAGTGCCCTTCCTCATGTAACAGAAGCGTCCTTACTTCTTCAAAGCCTTCCCCTCCTGGGCAGCAGGGTCTCGGACCCGCCGGCCGCCCCTCCCTCTAACACCCTGCAGCTGTCCCAGCGCCATGCCTACACAGCTCTGTGTTAGCCCGTGCCGAGGTCTGAGTCATCAGATTAATGGGAAAATCAGCACAAGTAGCGTTTGAGGAACAGAATGCCATGTCGTTCATTGGGAAAGGAATGCTGAACTTTGACTTCTAAGTTAGATAACAGAACTGCTTCATGCCCTATGGAGGAATAAAACCATAACCTTTGAGCACATACTGTCTACCAGAAAAAAAAAAAAAAGAAAAGACACATCTTATTAGTTTTCTACACCGTAACCCCTAACTCTCCAATCAAGGCCAAGATCTGCCTGGGCCCTTGACAGTCCCAGGAGGTCAGCGTGAACCCCACCCCCACTGCAAAAGAAAGTGGGTAGCTGTCCTGCCGGCTAAAACACCCTCCCCTAGCTTGGTACTGTTAAAACTTCAGACACGGCCGGGCGCGGTGGCTCACGCCTGTAATCCCAGCACTTTGGGAGGCCGAGGCGGGTGGATCACAAGGTCAGGAGATCGAGACCATCCCGGCTAACATGGTGAAACCCCGTCTCTACTAAAAATTAGCCGGGCGTGGTGGCGGGCGCCTGTAGTCCCAGCTACTCGGGAGGCTGAGGCAGGAGAATGGCGTGAACCCGGGAGGCGGAGCTTGCAGTGAGCCGAGATCACGCCACTGCAGTCCAGCCTGGGCGACAGAGCCACACTCTGTCTCAAAAAAAAAAAAAAAAAAAAAAAAAAGGAAACAAAAAAACCCCAAAAAACTTCAGACACATTAAATCTAGCAGAGTTTAATTGAGCAAGAAAAAAAACAAAAAAGCGATTCGTAAATTGGGTAGCCTTCACAATTACAGCAGATTCAGAGAGACTCCAAGGGTGCCTCGGGGTCAGAACAAATTTATAGACAAAAAGGGAAGTGATGGACAGAAATCGGAAGTCAGGTACAGAAACACCCGGGCTGGTTACAAGTTGGTGTCGGCCTCATTTGAACACAGTTTGAACACTCAGCAGTGTATGAGTGGCTGAAGCATGGCTGCTGGGATTGGCCAAGACCCAGCTGTTGTTACAGTTGCATACTCTAGAGTTAGACTTTCAATCTTGTCTACATATTAAGTCAGACACACTCCTAAGTTGGGTTTTCAATCTTGGCTAAGTTCGACCACAAGGACTCAAATACAGAAGTACGGAGTCCTTCTTAGGCCATACTTAGTTTGCTTTAACAGTATTAAAAACCATTTTGCGACATCAGCATTTTGGTCTTTTCCTAGGGTTTGGGGTATTTTCTCTTCCCTAGGCTTTCTTCTCTGTCTCTGACCTTCAGTGTGGGCATCTCCATGAGGGGGTCCTTGACTCCTTGGCTCACGTGTGCCTCGGCCCCTCAGCAGCTCTGGTGTCCTGTGGACATGAGGGTGCCTCTTAACCCACGCTGCTGCCCATGGCTTACAGGAACCAAAGCTCAGCCCAGGAAGCCTCAACCTCAGGCTCTAGATCTGGGGAGGTCTCTCTTCCTGCAAACTGCTGGCATCTCACTGCATCTTCTCACAGTGGAAGAGGCAAGAGAGCTCTCTGGGGTTGCTTTAATAAGGGCACGAATCCCTTCATAAGAGCTCCACCCTCATGACCTAATCACCTCCCAAAGGCCCCACCTTCCAGTAGCATCACCTTGGTGGGTAGGATTTCAACATATCGATCCGGGGAAGAAGTAACATTGGCCCAGTTGCAGAGTCTGTGAAGGAAATGATAAGGGTACATATCCTTGCAGGTGAAAACAGAAATTGCTGCTCTCAATTTTCCCTCTTCCAGTCTAAGGATCAAACCCTCCTAGCTACCTCCCTCTCCCCTGAGTGAACTGGCCCATCCAGTAGCTCAGTGCACACTAGTGTGGAAATGTTTACACGGGTAGTCTTTTGTAATCACTCCTAGGTATTAAACTTGCAGTGTCCTGATTTGAAGGACGCTTGCTGCTGGAGGTGTTACATCCAGAGCCGTTTGGGGAAATCCTAGTGGCTTTCTGGTGGGCCTGCAAGTTATACCCACTCTGCCTTGTGTGCTCGGGGGATCGGAAGTCAGAGAAAATTGGTATTTTGAAAAGTAATTATTTCTCTTCTTTTGCTGTAACTTTAATCTTTCTTCCTGGACAGAACAAAGCATATTAATATAAATTTGCAATTTTCCAGTTTGTAATTCCTCTCCAGTAATGTGCTATTGACAGGCAGGAGGTTTCTTCAAGTTGAGCTCTGAATCTTTCTCTTGGGCTGAGTATAACATCCTTTGTTAGAATAAACATTGTATTCGCCCAGTTGAAAATGCTCTTAACTTGGCAACATGTAACAAAGGCTTTAGGTGTGCACACACCTGAGCCAGAAACTTCAGCCCCTGAGTGCTCCTCTTGCAGACAAGGCCTCCCAGATAAGTGCTAAGACTCTAGAGTTTAGCAAGACCTGCCCTCAATGATAATCTGTCCACACGGGTTGGGAGTGCTGGGATATTTGCAGTCATTTCTGCCATTTTATTTTATACTTTCTATTACATTCTACATTTCTATAGTTTTACTTTTACTTCTTGCCTTTCTTTTGACTCTTTTGTTTGCCATTTCCACTGTATTTTTCCTTGTTTAGAAGCAAATTGCTTTCTCTTGTATTGATTACCCTAGAATGTAAACATATATTAATGTAAAAAAATCTAAGGACCCTCTGCCTGAATCATGCCAGCGCATTAGAATCATCCAATTCTCACACTTCTGTGCTATTCTTGTCCGGCATCTAGTTCTACTCTGATTTTTTTTTTTTTTTTGAGACAAAGTCTCACTCCGTTGCCCAGGCTGGAGTGTACTGGCACCATCTCGGCTCACTGCAACCTCCACCTCCCAGGTTCAAGCAATTCTCCTGCCTCAGCCTTTCGAGTAGTGTGGGCACCACACCCAGCTACTTTTTGTATTTTTAGTAGAGACGGTTTCGCTGTGTTGGCCAGGCTGATCTTGAACTCCTGACCTCAGATGATCCACCCGCCTTGGCCTCGCAAAGTGCTAGGATTACAGGCGTGAGCCACCACACACAGCCTACTTGGATTTTTTTTTTTTAACCAGCAAATTAAGCATCGTTTACAGTTTTAGACAATCAGTATTTCCTGTGATTTACCATACGTTACCCATTTTCTTTTTCTTTTCTCACAGTTTCTTCTTGCAGCTCCTGGCTCCTTCTGGACTTTTCCTATTTCCATGTTTCTTTTTTTTTTTTTTTTTTTTTTTTTTGCGGGGCGGGTGGTGGCAGATGGAGTCTCGTTCTGTTGCCCAGGCTGGAGTGTAGTGGTATGATCTCGGCTCACTGCAACCTCCGCCTCCCGGTTCAAATGATTCTCCTGCCTCAGCCTCCTGAGTAGCTGGGACTACAGGCACCCACCACCGCGCCCAGCTAATTTTT
The DNA here is from genome assembly GCF_000001405.40 of Homo sapiens. Taxonomy (NCBI): domain Eukaryota; kingdom Metazoa; phylum Chordata; class Mammalia; order Primates; family Hominidae; genus Homo; species Homo sapiens. Next base: position 161,364,304 of record NC_000006.12, on the reverse strand, counting down.
GTATTTTTAGTAGAGACGGGGTTTCACCATGTTGGTCAGGACGGTCTCAAACTCCTGACTTGGTGATCTGCCTGCCTTGGCCTCCCACATCCATGTTTGTTTGTTTGTTTTCTTTTCTTTTTTTTTTTTTTTTTTTGAGACGGAGTCTCCCTCTGCTGCCCAGGCTGGAGTGCAGTGGCGTGATCTCGGCTCACTGCAAGCTCAGCCTCCCGGGTTCACGCCATTCTTCTGCCTCAGCCTCCTGAGTAGCTGGGACTACAGGCGCCCACCACCATGCCCAGCTAATTTTTTGTAATTTTTTGTATTTTTAGTAGAGATGGGGTTTCAGCATGTTAGCCAGGATGGTCTCAATCTCCTGACCTCATGATCCGCCTGCCTTGGCCTCCCAAAGTGCTTGGATTACAGGCGTGAACCACCACATCCGGCCCCAAATCATGTTTCTTTAATGAACTTCTGTTGATGGGAAATGCTGTTTTTTATTACTGTGTTTTTATTTATGCTCATTCTTAAAAATTAATTTTGCTTGGATAGAATTCTAAGTGGGCTGGTATTTTCTGTCAGTGCTTTGAAGATACCATCACTGTCTGCCAGCACCCATGCATTAAGAAATCAGCTGGGGGGAATAATTGTAACTTCTTTGTAGATAATTTGTGTGTTTTTTTGCCACTCTCTCCAAACACTGTTTCTCTCTCATGCTCTTTGTTATCTCCTTCCAGAACTCTACTTAGAAAAACACTGGACCTTCTCACCTTATCCCCCCATCTCTTAATCTCCTTTTCATATTTTTTACTTCTTGGCATTTTATGTAATTTCTTCAGCTCCATCTTTCAGTTCACAAATTCTCTCTTCATTTGTATCTAATTTGTTATGTAACTCATCAACTGAGTTTCTAATTTTAATTATTAGTGTTTCATGTCCAGAAAAATGGACAAAACAAAGAAATTTGTTTCTTTTTTACATCTCCCTGGTTAATTGTGACAGTCTCTTATTCCATTATCATCACCTTTATTTATTTATTTAAATATAACAAACATATTTAGTTTATACTCAGTTAAGTTTTTTTGAGACAGAGTCCCACTCCATCACCGGGACTGGAATGCAGTGGCAAAATCTCGGCTCACTGCAACCTCTGCCCCCCAGGTTCAGGTACTTCTCCTGCCTCAGCCTCCCAAGTACCTGGGACTACAGGTGCACACCACCACGCTTGGCTAATCGTTGTGTTTTTAGCAGAGACGAGGTTTCACCATGTTGGCCAGGCTGGTCTTGAACACCCGGCCTCAAGTGATCCACCTGCCTCAGCCTCCCAAAGTGCTGGGATTACAGGTGTGAGCCACCATGCCTGGCCAGTACTCTGTCTCTGGCCATTCCAATATCTACAACCTTTGCTGGTTAGATTCTGTAGTTTCTGTAATTCTGTGACTTTCACTCATGTAGCTAGTTTTCTCCTGTATTAGGTGACTTTTTAACTTTTTTATTATGATCCCAGATTTCTTAGAATTTTATTTGTGTAATTTCCTTGAGGTTTGGCTTTTTAAAGTGCTGTGCTCCACAAAAGATATTTTTGCTTCCGCCTGGTTCCAGGGTATATGCCAATCTGGTAATATTTCAAATTAATTTTTGACTTGAGGTTTTTTAAAGCTAATCAGATAGGATGAATTCTTTTCACCAACCCTCGTGTCCGAGGCCTGATGGTTAGGAATGTTCAGAAAAATGTTTTCCAAACCTGCTGCCTCACAGAACCCAGCCTGAGACCAGCACATATCTGTCAATTATCTCTTCAGGGCGGGCTTTTGCCCTGGCTTCCTCCACTGAGAACGTCACCCTCAGGAGTCCAGGTCCTCTGTGTGTAGTAAAACTGGATTCCACCTCCCACCTGGCTCTGGCTGGAGGCTTTGTCTCCTGCCTGTGCCCTTAGGGCCTGGGAAGACCCAGATGATGGGCAGCGCGGGACTAAGAAGATAGCCCCACAGCAAATGCCAGGTTCCTTCCTCCCGAACCAGGAGGATTTGCTGTCTTTAAGGGTTTCCTTTGCCTTCCCACCCTATCAGCCGTACGTTTAAAAAAGATTTTTTTCCATATTTGATCCAGCATTTTTAGGTGTGTGGACCTGGGAGAAATTGCCCTTCACATGCAGTATGCCATGTTGCTAAAAAATGGCATTTTGAAATTATTTTCTGATAAGTAAAATTGTATTTTTCTCCAATTTGTATGACTTACCAACTTGCCACCAACAAGCAATCTAAACCATTGCTGCAGAGCTACAGAGCCCTAGACCTGAAAAAGAACAGCGTGGAACATGAGGCCGGGGTGGCGTTGGGGTGCAGGTCGGTGGGGGGATGGGTGTTTGCCACGTGTCACTGACGGTTAGGACCACCCAAGACTCTGTGGTGACTGGAAGGCGTGCCATGAAGATGCATACCTAGTTACCAAGTTGTGAAATGGCCCTCACTAACCACAGCGCCCTCACTGGGCCTCTGCCGTGAGTGGATCTTAGCAAAGGAAGCACTCATTGACCTACCGTTGCCTCCGAGCAGCTGACTCCACGTTATTCTAGCAAAGTATTCACAAATCACGTGACACCCTGGCAGTTCTCAAGGGTGTTTCCTTTGTGCCCATGATGGCTCATTAACAGAAACGAAATTGGCTTCACCCAGTGACCAGCCCTAGGCAAAGCTTGTCTGTGGTGCCCCCACCACTGTCAGGGATACCACCCATGTGCCCTGCCCATTTCACGGGGTCCTATTTTGGATGTTTGGTAACCCCTGAAAGTTTAGTGGTAACCCCTGAAAGTTTGGTAACCCCTGAAATTTGGTAACCCCTGAAAGTTTAGTGCCTTCCTGGGCTGCGTCATTCATTCATTCACTTGCCTGAAATGTACTGATCGCCTGCTGTGTACCAGATTCTATGCCAGAAACTGGGGATATGAGGATGTCTCAAATGTGATCTTGGCTCTGGAAGAATTGACTTTCCACAGAAATAACAGAAACATGAACACTAATTCCTAAAGAAACTATTAAATGCAGTACAGTTATTTTCCTCATAATACTTCATCTATAAAGACTCAAAAACTTTAACATTTCAAAAAGGCTTGGAATTCGAAAGTGAAATGACAAAGTTTGGATTCATGTTTTTGGTGATGCTGCATCTTATCTGGGGATAATCAGCGAATGGCTGGTCCTTAAGGTCACAGATGTCAAGCACAGCTAGCCCAGGACCTCTTGCTTCCACCCCCACCAGAAAACCTCCTTATACATGATGGTGCAGGCAGCACCCAGCTCTCGGTGACATGAATAATGTCAGCAAATGTATTAAAAGCTTGCCACACTGGAGTCATTCTGAGTCTTTGAAGAAATTAACTCATAGAATCCTCCATACCCCCAATGCACAAGGTGTTTCATCTGAGAGATAAAGACTGTCAGAGAGCTTAGGGAATGTTTCCAGAGTCACCCGTCTGGGTAGAGCTGGGATTTGAACCAGACAGCTGGTTCCAGGGCCACAGTCTTCACTCACAGCTCCCACTGCCCTCTCTGGCACATCGACTTCATTTCCTGTTCTTGCTCCTGTCCCTTCTGTGACAACATTTGGAGTTCCCCATTTGCCAGGTGCAAGGAAGGATAACAAGATGTAGAGCAAAGTTTAAAAGCAAAGATTCCAGAGTCACACTGATACTCCCACTTACCAGCTTTGGGCCATGTTTTCACCCATCGAATCCTCAATGTGGAATAAAAACTAGATCCTCACTTCACATCTGATGAAGTGTCTAATGAGAAGTGTATTTGAGCATTGATCACCTTGCCTGCATTTTAAGCACCTGATAGGTGTTATTTATTACAATTATGCAAAACAACAGAATAGAGGAGCTCACACTACAAAACCAAACAATCTCTTCCCCGCTCCTACGCATACGCCACATGCCAGGGAGAGTGTCCCCATCCGCCTAGTAGCTGTCTAGCATTTGTCAAGTGCATTGATATTTAGGCTTCTTGCCCGAAGGCACTCCTGTCTTCAAGAATTTCCTGTACCGACGTACAGGGAACATAAACTCTGATCCCAGTAATAGAAAGCTGAGATTAAACGCCTTTCCTCTTTGTTTCCCCAGGCCTACAGAGTCGATGAAAGAGCCGCCGAGCAGGCTCGTTGGGAAGCAGCCTCCAAAGAAACCATCAAGAAAACCACCAAGCCCTGTCCCCGCTGCCATGTACCAGTGGAAAAAAATGGTGAGTCTGTGCTGAGCAGAGAATGAGGATGTCGTGTGCTCTTTGGGGGAGAATCATACCCATCAGGGATTCCAGGATTAAAGGAGATGCTGTCTGAAGGTGCCTGGTGTGTTGGGTAACCCCTCGATTAATGTTACCCATTATCACTATTATTATTGTTTTTGTTACACAGAAATATTTAATGAGTGAGTAGTTCCATGGCTATGTGAGGCACACAGTTAGCATTTATGTGGTTGGAAAGGGAATAAATATAGAAACTAGAACCAAGATATGGAAAGTGGTTGAGGATAAGTGGCAGTCAGGAGGCAGCTGTGGTTTTTCTGTCCTCCCTGGTGACCTTCCCCAGCGCTGATGGCTGCACCGTATGACCCTGTTGTCTGCCGGCCGTCAGTCTGTAGCCTTCCCCAGCTTTGCAACATTATTCAAAATTAAACCCTCGTCTATATTTAAAGATCCCTGTGGCCTGCCCCTGATGACTCACAGTACCAGTGGGGGACTTCCTGCTGTCTATCCTGGACATGCCACTCAGGGCAAAGCCATCACAACCAGTGGTCCGAGAGCCCTTTCTCAATGTGATGCACTTGTACGTGTGCAAGGCAGAGTCAGCGGCACCATCACAGATGAGCAATGACACGAAGCCAGGCGCAGCCTCTCCCAGCTTCTCCTTAATGAGCATCAGCTACGCCCTGGCTGGCAGGTTGCCCAGAGCTGACTTGCGGGAGGGAAGCCCGGCCATCCCAGGATGGGCACTCAAGCCTCTCTCTTTTCAGTTATGTCCTTCAGGAAGTTTTCATTAATACAAACAAGACGGTGCTTGAACACATCCCAGAGCCGCAGGTGCTGGCTTAGCTCAGTACAAGTCCTTAGTGCTGTATCAGTGGCTTCCTGCAGAGAAAATAAATAATTTACCCAGCGTGTCCTTATTACTCCATTGCATGCAGCAGTGCTCCTAGAAAATGAAGGGATTGGCATGCACCTATAAAGAGCAGAAGGCGGCCGGGCGCGGTGGCTCACGCCTGTAATCCCAGCACTTTGGGAGGCGGAGGCGGGTGGATCACAAGGTCAGGAGGTCGAGACCATCCTGGCTAACACAGTGAAACCCCGTCTCTACTAAAAATACAAAAAATTAGCCGGGTGTGGTGGCGGGCGCCTGTAGTCCCAGCTACTCTGGAGGCTGAGGCAGGAGAATGGTGTGAACCCGGGAGGCAGAGCTTGCAGTGAGCCGAGATTGCACCACTGCACTCCAGCCTGGGCGACAGAGTGAGACTCCATCTCAAAAAAAAAAAAAAAAAAAAAAAAGAGCAGAAGGCACTGATGGGATGGAAGGAAAGAGCTTCTCTAGTCTCCACCACCACTGGGTGCACTGGGAAGTGGGAGGGAAAGAACACGGAAGGGCCCTTCCCAGGAGAAGATATGTGATGGTTTGGGATAAACAGGCCTGGTATTTCGCTGACAAGGGTGTAAAGCACAGAGATTAGACAGTCTTGATCTGTAGCCCAGGCTGGGGTGCAATGGCGTAATCTCGGTTCACTGCAACCTCCACCTCCCGAGTTCAAGAGATTCTCCTGCCTCAGCTTCCCAAGTAGCTGGGACTACAGGTGTACGCAACACACCCAGCTAATTTTTATATTTTTTAGTAGAGACGGGATTTCACTATATGTCGGCCAGGCTGGTCTCGAACTCCTGACCTCAGGTGATCTACCCGCCTTGGCCTCCCAAAGCCAAGCTGGGATTACGGGTGTGAGCCACTGTGCCCGGCCTTAATTTTTGTTTGTTTTGTTTTTTAATAATAATTCTCAAGGTTGGTGAGGACATCATAAGTTAGCGTAACTTTTCTGGAAACCACTTTGGCAATACCTATATAAAGACTTTATATTATTTGACCCAATAATTCTACCTTTGAAAATCTATCCTAAAGGACTAACCTGAAATATATAATAGGCAAACACACCCACACCCCCACACACATTTTAGGAAAAAAGGTGCCAACTGCAGCATTATTTATATTAGCGTAAACTGAAAATCATCGAAGTGTCTAAAGGCCTCAGTATGAGAAAGATTGGTTTATTTTGTGATAAATCGGTGGTAAAGCTTCACACAGCCCGGCACTGCAGTGTTGCAGGAGTTAGGACTCTGCCATGGACTGTGGCTGTGTGAGCACCAGTTTGCTCGTTCATAAGATGGGTTTCAATGGGACTTCCTCACAGCATGGGCAGGAGGAGTAACAGAGACGGTGCATCAAACACGCTCCGTGAGACGTGCTCTGATTCGTGTGGATGAAGGTTATGAAGGCATGGCGGAAAGGTTTACATCCATCCTCAGTGAGAAATCAGAATTTCAAAGCAAGTGGCACATATGTCTGTTTTGAAACAAATGTGTGTGTGGGAAAAAATAGAATCAGAAGAAAAAGACTGGAAACAAGATGTTACCATGTCATAGTGAGTAGCTCTAGGCATAACAGGACCAAAGAGGACTTTATTTCTTTTTATGCTTTTCTGTAATAAACATGTGTGACGTATAACCTTAGAAAATTAGTAAAAATCAGCCAGGTCTCTGTCTGCAGTGGGGAGGGAAAGGGGATCCTTAAACACCCACCCATGTTCCCACTTCTGGCAGGCGTCACAGGCACGGCAGGTGGAGAATTTACCCAGCAGGTCTGGGGTCCATGCCTTAGTGGCCTCCTCGGTAGCCCAGACTCTGGTGGTGGCAGTTTGCAAGATAAGAAGTGGTCAGCGAGGCTGGGAGTGGTGGCTCACACCGGTAATCCCAGCACTTTGGGAGGCCAAGGCAGGCGGATCACCTGAGGTCAGGAGTTCGAGACCAGCCTGGCCAACATGGCGAAACCCCGTCTCCACTAAAAATAGAAAAGTTAGCTGGGCATGGTGGTACATGCCTGTAGTCCCAACTGCTTGGGAACCTGAGGCAGGAGAATTACTTGAACCTGGGAGGCGGAATTTGCAGTGAGCTGAGATCATGCCATTGCACTCCAGCCTGAGTGACAGAGCAAGACTCTGTCTCAAAAAAAAAAAAAAAAAAAAAGGAAGTGGTCAGCGAACCTGGACCTGTTGCTTTCTGTTTCTCTCCTCCGTGGTTGTTTGGTTCAGCACTTACTGTCGGCTTGTGGGGACACCTGAGACACTTCACCTTTGTGACACATAACATACAGCCCAGTCTTGTGGCCTTAAATACTATCCACATACTGATGGCTCCCAAATCTACACCCCACCCTCATCTCGCCCCTCGGTCCGACTCCAATAGCCAGCTGCTTCCTTAGTGTCTCCACTGATTGTTCAATGGACAGCTCAAATTTCACAAAGCAGAGTGCTAGCTGCTCCTAGAAAACCTTTTCCTCTAGGGTGCACCCCACCTCAGTCAACAGCACCGCCCAGTTCCTCAAGCCGCTAAGCTAAAGCTCATCCTTCATTCCATGCTCTTCCTCACCCTGCATTCAATCCCCGGTCACCACGGCCTTCCCCGTGCTCTGATCCAGCGTCTGCCCACCTCTGACTCCACGTCCCCAGCCAGTGCCCTGCTTGCCCGCCTCCTCTTCCAAGCACAGCTTCCCAAAAGGGCTCTCGCCTCCACTCTCGCATATTTATGATCCGTCCTCTACATAGACGTGTAGACTTCTCAAAGGCCATGTCAGTCCTGCCCTTCCCCCCGGGGGTCCCCACTGACATTGCAACCACACAGTCCCGCTCCTCTCCCCAGGACGCTTCTGTGTCGTCACTGCCCATGGCTGGCTCCTTCCTGTCCTTCAGATCTTACCCCAGCTGACCTCTTCTCAGTCAGACCGCCCCTTACCACCCTGCCAAAGACCCCTGCCCTCCTGTTGGGGGGCACTGTCAACACCATCCCATCTCTCGAGGGGGAGGCACTGCCATTCCCTCTGCAGGGGGCCTGCCTGTGGATGGCCTTGAGCCCTCTGGGAAATCACCTCTGCCAAGACAATTAGTTCTGGCTCCCTCCCCTTCCCCGGAGAGCTCATGTCCCATGACTACTGGTTGGTCATAATACCCAACCCACTAACGAAATTCAGGACCACCCTGAGAGCTGCCCCATCCCCAGAGCTCCTGGACGTCAGCTCAGGCCTCTTAGGCTGTGCCCGAGCTGGGCTTCTCCTCTGCCCAGTCTGCCCTCCTCCCTTTCCATCTCAGTGTCTGCTTCCCCCTTTACCCAACGAGTCCCACCCACCAGTTTAATAATAATTTCATAGCACCACTTCCTTCCCAGATCATTGCTTAATTTGTTCATTTACATGTTCCCCATCTGTCGCTCTTTAGAACATAAGCCGGTGAGATCAGGGACCTTGACCGTCTAGGCTCCAATCCCAGAAGAGAGCCCGGACAAAAAATATTTGCTGAATTAAAACTTAGCTTGTAGGCCGGGCGTGGTGACTCACGCCTGTAATCCCAGCACTTTGGGAGGCCGAGGCTGGCAGATCGCTTGAGTTCAAGAATTCAGGACCAGCCTGACTAACATGGTGAAACCCTGTCTCTAGTAAAAATACAAAAAAAAAATAGCTAGGTGTGGTGGCAGGCACCTGTGATCCCAGCTACTCGGGAGGCCGAGACACAAGAATTGGTTGAACCCAGGAGGTGGAGGTTGCAGTGAGCCAAGATTGCACCATTGCACTTCGGCCTGGGTGACACAGTGAGACTCCGTCTCAAAAAGAATAAATAAAACACAAACACACAAAAACTTAGCTTGTAAAGTTTAGAGATATACACATAAACCGATCTTTTTAATAAAATAACATAGAGGAAGCAAGCTATCAGGGCACACAGACCCGGAGGAGGAGGCTTCCTGGAAGAGATGATACCAGCCAAGAATTGAAGAATGAGCAGATATGAGCAAGGCAAGGAAGAGCAGGAGGAGGCGTCCTAGGCCCCAGGACTGCATGAGCAAAGACACCGGGTGTGCGCGCGCCGGTGTGCGGAGGCAGCCCCTGCTGCTCGTGTTCCAGGCACCGCACGCAGGAGCCTCAGCTGAAGCAGTAGGTAGGATGCAGAATTGAGGTCCCTGAATGGCAGGTTTGGGGCTTGGACTTGATCCTGTGAGGCAGGCAGATATTCTAGGATGAGAAGCAGGAAAATTATTCATCGGATCTGCCCTGGACTCAGAACATGCTGGCAGCCTCCAAAGATGGAGTTGTAGGAGTCAAATGGTTCGTGACTGTAGGAAAGTTTCTCCCTGTCGGGCTATTTCTTGGAAATATTGTGATGTACTATAAATGAAAGCACTAATTTTTTACCTCCAAATTTTTAACTTACAAACAGAAAAGCTGAGACTTGAAGCTTATTAGCGATGGCCTAAACTGTTTAAAAGTGCATCACTGTAACCGAAACCGACATAGCCTCTATGACCAAGGATGTTACCTGGTTGTCACCAAGGTTCGTGGCCTGTTACATACTCAGCTGTGTTTCAGGAATGCCCTTCCTCCCTCAGAGAAGCTGAAATGAGAATGCGAGGAATTTCCATTTTAAGCACAGGCTAAACCCTGGTACTTTCTCCTATAATCCACTCCAGTCTCCAGAAATTTCTTCACTTCCATCTCAAGCAGATGAAATTCTGGCTCCATTCCCTGACTGAGTGTGTGCTTCTCCTCAAATGTGCCTTCAGGTTGTTCAGGGACTTCCACGCTCTCATTAAATCTAGTGGAAGAATTGCTGGCCGGAGCCACGATGTCGACTGCCCGGCGTAGGCTGAGCTTTTCATGGTTTGAGTGTCCATCTGCAGACAGAACTCACTACAAAGGAAGCCATATTCCCTTCATGTCTATATCCACAAATCTGCGTGAAGTTTCAGCTGCTTCCTGGATGCACTTACTTTTAAGCTGGCAAAGCTTTTAGAATTGCGGTCCTCCATGCTCCTCCATGGCCTGGGTCTAGCTCTATGGCCTTGTGTATATTAAGCCCTAGGGAGAAAAGAAAGCTAATGACGTGAATATCTTCTCTTCCCATTTCCATTCTTACTGTACCAGGCCATTGTAATTCTAGCTTCTGTACCAAGATATCATTTACAATGCTAGTATCCCAGATTCATTAAATGCTTGGTATTAATTTTTGGCATTCGGTCTAAGTGTAGAACAAACAACATGCTTCTTCTATTCTCTCATTCAATAACAACAGTCAGCACAGAAGACTTCTGTGACGGAATGTGCGGGGGTTTTTCCCCACGCACCAAGCAAGCAATCAGTTCTGCAGTGGACACCGGCTGAGTGTCCTGCTCTTCAACCCTGGCGCTGTCTACCAGGAAATAGTGTCTGATCCCTCAGGCTGGGGGCTCAGTCCCACAGGACTGCCACTCACCGGTCTCAAGTCTGGGCTTCCGGAAGTTCTGATCGACTGGCTTCAAGTTGAGATTCCCATGACTCCCTCTTTGGGTTCTGTTATTTGCTACAGTGGCTCACAGAACTCAGGGAAACACATTTACCAGTTTATTATAAAGGATATTACAAAAGATACAGATGAAGAGATGCAGAGGGCGAGGTATGGGGGAAGGGTCGCGGAGCTTCCAAGCCTTCCCTGGGTGCTCCGCCCATCAGAAACCTCCATGTGTTCAGCAACCTGGAAGCTCCCCAAACCCTGTCCTCTGGGGCCCTCTATGGAGACTTCCTGGGATAGGCACGATGGAAGCATGGACAGCCGTGTTGAAATGCGGTGGGACAGAAAGGCTTTGATCTCACGCTAAAAGATGGAGTGGGGAGACCCTGCAAGGCCTGCCGGTCTAGATTCTTCTTGGCCTCCCTGTGCAGCATTCCTTCCTCCAGGGGATGGACAGGACTCTTTCTGAAATCCGGGTCTTATAACCCACAGTCAGAACAGCTGCGGATGGTTCCAGTCCTGCCCTGGGCTGGTAAAAGGAGGGCAAGGAAAGGTCGGAGGGAGAGATTCTCTTTTCTGGCGCCTGTTTCTGAGGCCTGAATTGCCCCAACATTATGACAAAAGACTGTAACAAGAGCTATGGGAGTTATAAGCCAGGGACTGTGTATGAAAAACACATCTATCAGCCAGGCGCGGTGGCTCATGCCTGTAATCCCAGCACTTTGGGAGGCCAAGGCAGGCAGATCACGAGGTCAGGAGTTTGAGACCAGCCTGGTCAACATGGTGAAACCCCGTCTCTACTAAAAATACAAAATTTAGCCAGGCGTGGTGGCAGGTGCCTGTAATTCCAACTACTCGAGAGGCTGAGGCAGGAGAATTGCTTGAACCCGGGAGGCAGAGGTGGCAGTGAGCCCAGATCGCGCCCTGTACTCCAGCCTGGGCGACAGAGCGAGACTCCATCTCAAAAAAATAAAATAAAATAAAATAAAATATATATATATATATACACACACACACACACACACACACACACACTCTTCATACATATTTGTGTTTATATATGCTTATATATATTAAATATCACAATAGGAAAGTTTCTTACCCTTTCATTTAGAATTGCTTTAATAGTTCATTAAGTTTTAATGTATTGCTCAATAATTTTGATTGAATATATTTTACGATACATGATATAATAATGATATATTTATGATATGATAAAATATTTATGATATTTTAGAGAAACAAGTGGTTTTATAATGTCACACCATATAACATATTATTTACATCATAAATATACAACCATGCAATATGTGCTGAAAATGGCACAAACCTAAGTGGAAAGTATGAAGATAAAAGTGTTGTAAGTTTTCTCCTTTATTTTCCACAGATCTGTAATTTATGATCTTTAAAACAAGCCAGAAAGGATTAGGAAAACAGGAGATTTTGCATGTCGGCAAGTTATCTTAAAACAAATGCCTATTCCTATATATTCATAAATATTTTAAATTAGTGAAAGTTCTCATGCCAGGTTTCTAATAATAAAAGTGAGACAGCACCGAACCAATTACTTGGAAAATTTGGCAGGAAAAATCAATTAACAAGATAATTGGTAAGAGTGAGTAATGGAGCACCTTCAACGCTAGGTGGGATTCAAGCAAAGAAACTGCGTTTGCCGGGGTTTTCCAGGAAATTTGGACAGAAACAGTTCTCTGTACATCCTCATACAAATCACTTCCTCCTCCCTTCAGTTCCCCCACAGCGACTGAAGCAGGGCTGTGTGCACTCCAGAAACTCATGGAGTCTATGTTTAACAAGTGAGGGAGGTGAATAATTCCAAAATAAGTTCCAAGATAAGGGACTTTTCCTCTTATGCTGAAAATAACCTGTTCTGTGAATGACAGGACATTGGAATCACACAGACCTTGGTGAGATCATTGTCTTCACCATTTAAAAGTGCTTCACCTTGGGGAAATTCTATAGCAGAGTGATGCTCTTATCTCAAAGTGCTTTGGGAAGCAAATGAGATAATATACATAGAACACCTAGCATTATTAATTACTTCCTTTCTATCCCTCTCATCTTAATTAAAATTTTGGATAGCATTAAGGAACATATTCCCTATTAAAAATAATATGCTGGCTGGGTGCGGTAGCTCACGCCTGTAATCCCAGCACTTTGGGAGGCCGAGGCGGGAGGATGACTTGAGGTCAGGAGTTTGAGACCAGCCTGGCCAACATGGCAAAACCCTGTCTCTACGAAAAATTCAAAAATTAGCTGGGCATGTTGGTGGGCGCCTGTAATCCCAGCTACTCGGGAGGCTGAGGCCAGAGAATCACTTGAACCTGGGAGGTGGGGGTTGCAGTGAGCCAAGATCTCGCCACTGCACTCCAGCCTGGACGACAAGAGCAAAACTCCATCTCAAAAAAAAAAATAGAAATAATAATAATTACAATATGCTATCCCAGTTCCTGTTTTATGAATTTGGCCAAGCCAAGTAAGTGGCACTATAGAAAGAGCAAAAATAAATCAAAATATATTTAAATTATTATACATTATATTAGGTTATATCATCAAATTTTATCAATATATTTAAATATAAATATATTTATATATATTTTAAATATAAATATATAAAAATATATTTATATATATTTTAAATATAAATATATAAAAATATATTTATATATATTTTAAATATAAATATATAAAATATATTTATATATATTTTAAATATAAATATATAAAATATATTTATATATATTTTAAATATAAATATATAAAATATATTTATATATATTTTAAATATAAATATATAAAATATATTTATATATATTTTAAATATAAATATATAAAATATATTTATATATATTTTAAATATAAATATATAAAAATATATATATTTTAAATATAAATATATAAAAATATATATATTTTAAATATAAATATATAAAAATATATATATTTTAAATATAAATATATAAAAATATATATATTTTAAATATAAATATATAAAAATATATATATTTTAAATATAAATATATAAAAATATATATATTTTAAATATAAATATATAAAAATATATATATTTTAAATATAAATATATAAAAATATATATATTTTAAATATAAATATATAAAAATATATATATTTTAAATATAAATATATAAAAATATATTTATATATTTTAAATATAAATATATTAATATTTGAATATATTTAAATGAGGAATTGACCCCTATCTATGAAACATGAAGTGTTTGTCTCTAAATCCCCTTTCAGGAGAATAAAGTCAGATTTACAAATAAAATTTGTTCCCGACAAAAGTGACATGCTTCAATTTCATTCATTTCTTAATGAATATCATCACTTTAGAGCTGCCCTATTGTGCTTTATGAAGTTTTTCCCCTCAGTTAAGTTTCTCTCTGCCCTTGTATTGCTTGTGATTATTCGCTCAGAAAGTGATGTCTAGGCTAGCGTGCTGGTTTGGGAATGCGTGTTTTCCAGGTACTTGCTGCGAACCCACCACACCTTTGTTTTCTGCCCCCAACAGGAGGCTGCATGCACATGAAGTGTCCGCAGCCCCAGTGCAGGCTCGAGTGGTGCTGGAACTGTGGCTGCGAGTGGAACCGCGTCTGCATGGGGGACCACTGGTTCGACGTGTAGCCAGGGCGGCCGGGCGCCCCATCGCCACATCCTGGGGGAGCATACCCAGTGTCTACCTTCATTTTCTAATTCTCTTTTCAAACACACACACACACGCGCGCGCGCGCACACACACTCTTCAAGTTTTTTTCAAAGTCCAACTACAGCCAAATTGCAGAAGAAACTCCTGGATCCCTTTCACTATGTCCATGAAAAACAGCAGAGTAAAATTACAGAAGAAGCTCCTGAATCCCTTTCAGTTTGTCCACACAAGACAGCAGAGCCATCTGCGACACCACCAACAGGCGTTCTCAGCCTCCGGATGACACAAATACCAGAGCACAGATTCAAGTGCAATCCATGTATCTGTATGGGTCATTCTCACCTGAATTCGAGACAGGCAGAATCAGTAGCTGGAGAGAGAGTTCTCACATTTAATATCCTGCCTTTTACCTTCAGTAAACACCATGAAGATGCCATTGACAAGGTGTTTCTCTGTAAAATGAACTGCAGTGGGTTCTCCAAACTAGATTCATGGCTTTAACAGTAATGTTCTTATTTAAATTTTCAGAAAGCATCTATTCCCAAAGAACCCCAGGCAATAGTCAAAAACATTTGTTTATCCTTAAGAATTCCATCTATATAAATCGCATTAATGAAATACCAACTATGCGTAAATCAACTTGTCACAAAGTGAGAAATTATGAAAGTTAATTTGAATGTTGAATGTTTGAATTACAGGGAAGAAATCAAGTTAATGTACTTTCATTCCCTTTCATGATTTGCAACTTTAGAAAGAAATTGTTTTTCTGAAAGTATCACCAAAAAATCTATAGTTTGATTCTGAGTATTCATTTTGCAACTTGGAGATTTTGCTAATACATTTGGCTCCACTGTAAATTTAATAGATAAAGTGCCTATAAAGGAAACACGTTTAGAAATGATTTCAAAATGATATTCAATCTTAACAAAAGTGAACATTATTAAATCAGAATCTTTAAAGAGGAGCCTTTCCAGAACTACCAAAATGAAGACACGCCCGACTCTCTCCATCAGAAGGGTTTATACCCCTTTGGCACACCCTCTCTGTCCAATCTGCAAGTCCCAGGGAGCTCTGCATACCAGGGGTTCCCCAGGAGAGACCTTCTCTTAGGACAGTAAACTCACTAGAATATTCCTTATGTTGACATGGATTGGATTTCAGTTCAATCAAACTTTCAGCTTTTTTTTCAGCCATTCACAACACAATCAAAAGATTAACAACACTGCATGCGGCAAACCGCATGCTCTTACCCACACTACGCAGAAGAGAAAGTACAACCACTATCTTTTGTTCTACCTGTATTGTCTGACTTCTCAGGAAGATCGTGAACATAACTGAGGGCATGAGTCTCACTAGCACATGGAGGCCCTTTTGGATTTAGAGACTGTAAATTATTAAATCGGCAACAGGGCTTCTCTTTTTAGATGTAGCACTGAAATCCTTGCTGGAGGGAAGAGAGGGGATGAACTCAAGTTTTCCACATCCTGGGACACCTGTCCCTCTTTTCCTAACTGCCTAAGATAACCCATTTCTTCCAACCATCTGAGGACAGTCCCGTCGTCTCAGAGGCCCTGCACCGGGGAGAGACTGGGCTCTGCAGCAGCCACATCAGCATTCACAGCTTCATGTGGCTTCACTGTCTGAAAATCTACCGACTCCAACATGGCCCCACGGTGACAACAGACCTGTGACAGGAAGCCCAAAGCTCACATAGAAATGGTGGACAGATCAAAGTCTCTATAGTAAGGGAAAAAAAGAGAGGTGGCAGGCATGAGCCCCCTGCACCCAGTGGCTCGTGTCCATACTGAGTCCAGACCCTGATCAAGGCCTGACTTAGTGTCACTGGCAGTCCCACTAAATTACACTTCCTTACACTGGCCCGATGCGACAAATCAGGTGGCTCCCTTCTGTCACGTGGAGCACACAGTGTTTTCCATCATCCATAGCTTTCTTCCTGATGGTGTTTGCATTATTGCGCCTTCCCAATCTGCATGCTGCGTTGGGCTTGCGGTGCCTGAACAAGGTTTGCTCCCATGAGCTCAGGCACCCTAGGATCCCCTGTTAGACTATTAGGCTGTCCAGCATGGTCTCCTTTCCCTTCTTGGTGGTGGTCTTTTCCCTTTCCAGAATAGAACAGTGATTCTTAAAATAAGTTAGAGCAGGCCGGGCGCGGTGGCTCATGCCTGTAATCCCAGCACTTTGGGAGGCCGAGGTGGGTGGATCACGAGGTCAGGAGTTCAAGACCAGCCTGGCCAAGATGATGAAACCCCGTCTCTATTAAAAATACAAAAATTAGCTGGGCGTGGTGGCAGGCACCTGTAATCCCAGCTTCCTGGGAGGCTGAGGCAGGAGAATCACTTGAACCCGGGGGGCAGAGGTTGCAGTGAGCCGAGATCACGCCACTGAACTCCAGCCTGGGCAACAGAGTGAGACTCTGTCTCAAAAAAAAAAAAAAAACAAAAACAAAAAAGCAAGATCATCCACTACACATGAACATGAATCACAGTATTATTTGCACAGGAAGGGTGTAACAAAATATGAATGTATCAAAAAATAGAAATAAAGTCTTTGCAGAAAAAGTCTGTTTTTCTCTGAAGTGTGTTGAGATTATCTGACAACTCTAAGATTGTACTTAAATTGTCAATAAAGCATCAAAAGAGCTTCTGAGTCTGTCTTTGAAGATACATTTTCAATCAATGTGAAGGGTGACGGAGGGAATCACAGGCTGTATTACTCCATGGGCCTCACTTGTGGCCTGGAGGAATTACCTGGTGATGAAATAGCCATTCAGTGACCTGGAGGAATTACCTGGTGATGAAATAGCCATTCTCATATCAACTCCAAGCTCCAGATTACCGCTGGCTGTTTCTCTTTGTTAAATAAGAGTAGTTTTTTAAGGCTATCAAAATTTGAAAGGGTTCCAAAAAGCAAACCCTCATTCATAAAAATCTAAAAGTTACTTTCCTGCCTTACTAGCAAACTTTTCTAATAAAAGTGTTTAAAAGAGAAGTTTGCATTGGAAAAGACTATCTATAAGGATTTTTTCTCATGTCATTCTAGAAAATTTCAGTGACTTTGCATTGCTGTCAATGTGGGTGTGTTGACGCTGCATTTTCAAAGAACTGCTTTAGTGGCCATGCATTGTTTATTTCACAATGAGCCCATGGTGGAGGGATCTGGAATGGAACATTCCGAGATAGGGCCTGCACAACATTAGGCAAAGAAGTACACACTGAGGTCCTCTGGGTGCCAGTAGCCACAGGAAACACTCCGAGGATATGCAAAGGTCATGGGAATGGTGGCCCAGGTGATGATAGAGCAAAAGGGGGCAGAGAAAGTGGGTGAGCTCTGGGTGCCAGGGTGGGAACCCCACCTCCAAAACGCACCTGTGTAAGAGCTTCGGGGACAATAATAGCATGCACCACGTTAGGTTGTTGTCACAACTAATTAATTTGCCTAAAGCACCTGGAACAGTGTGTAGGATAAACGAAGCACTGTGTAATTGTTCGCTATTGTTAAAAAATGAACCAGTCATTGGAAACTACAGAATAAAATAACAGAAAACACAAAACTAATGCAAAGTGATGACAAGTGCCAGGAATATCTATTTGAGCACACAATTGTAGATTTAGGGATTCGTGTTAGAGGCGGGTGACTCATGTTGCATATACGTATATTGTATTATCTTCTAGACAGCCCCAGAAGTGTTCCTATAAAGGTAAGTTGCTATGCTAGCTGTGTGTGTGTGTGTATGTGTTTGTGTGTATGTATGTGTGTGTGTGTGCGCGCGCACGCTATATGTGCAGATGATGTCCAGGGTGTGAATTCGGGTTAATATTGTGAGTGGAAATGAATAAGCACAAATGCGAAATGCTTATGCAGAAGACAGCATTAGACATGGGGTAAAGCCGGCAATCCCTGTTTGGGTAGTGGACGTGCCTCATCTCCATCTGCCCTTACTAGAACATTTCTGATAGTGTGGAGAATATCGATGTTCAGTTTTTTTAAGAAAATCCTATTTCAAAACAACATTGAGCCTCTTTTCAATCCACTGTGAATAAACTGTCTCACACAAAATAAGAAATGTTGCTGTGGTTTAAATAACATGCCGAAAAAAAAAAAAAAAAGCAGGGAGTATTGTCCGGGAAGACCTGCTTGACCATACAGATGGGTGGCACTGGCTTGAGGGACCCACCATGCTCGCTGATCTCATCCTCAGCTGCATAGGACCAATTTTGTCACTATATCAAGAGGTGACTGGGCCCCAAAAGACTAACGCTAACCTAACTCTTAAGAGAACGGGGCATAAAAGCTAAAACGTCAGTTTACAGTTTATATTTACTATGAGAAGCTTCCCTCCTGATGCTTCATACGTGCTTTTCCATCTGGCTGGAGTCATTCTTTAAAACCCCTGCCTTCTCCTTTTGACAGGCCAACCTGTGGGCTTCAGTTTGATGAATTTGTCCCGCAAATCTTTGCTAAACTCCTGGTCTACATTAACGCTCTTGGTGCGCACTTACTTCCCCAATCGTAGCATTGAACGTGCAACACTTTAATCACTTATTTACTTACCTCTGCTCCCCTAGGGACAGAGAAGAAGAGAGCTGTGTACTCACTGTTGTATACTTAGCACCATGCCTAGCATAGACCACACTCTATCACTATGAAACTGCATTTTTAAATTCTGAGCAGTTCTATGTGGAAAATAAAATTATAGCGGAAAGCTTTCTTGTTGAGCCTAGACTCAGAGCTAAATGACGTTAACTGCATCATGTTATTGAATAGTGTCACCTGCCCAGATGCACCAATTTCCATAACAGGCTGGGCGCAGCGGCTCATGCCTGTAATCCCAGCACTTTGGGAGGCCAAGGCAGGCGGATCACCTGAGGTCAGGAGTTTAAGACCAGTCTGACCAACATGGCAAAACCGCATCTCTACTAAAAATCCAAAAATTAGCTGGGTGTGGTGGTGCCCGCCTATAACCCCAGCTACTCGGGAGGCTGAGGCAGGTGGGAGAATCTCTTGAACCCCGGAGGTGGAGGTTGCAGTGAGCCGAGATCATGCCACTGCACTCCAGCCTGGGCAACAAAGTGAGATTCCATCTCAAAAAAAAAAAAAAAAATTCCATTACAAAGATAAGTCTAGCACAGACTGGAAACCTTTGCTCTCAGACTAGGGTAATCTTATCTCAAAGAGTCCCTGAGATACCTGGTCAAAGGGATCTGCTGTGGAGCTCCTCCCCCAGCTCCCCAGTGCCTCAGGTCATCTCAGCTGAACGCTGGGTGTTCCTGAAAGCTCCCATTGCATGTGCAGAATGAAACTCTAGTGTGTTTCTGTGGACAGTTTGTTTCATCCACAATTCTTGGATTTTTAATTTCAAACTCGAAGAGTGTCTTTTTTGAGAGATGCTGTTTAGCATCAAATCAGCACTCAGCATTTCTCCCTGTAAGGTTTTCTTTATATGTTTTGTTTTGTTTTGTTTTTGTTTTTTTTAAGACAGAGTCTTTGTCACCCAGGCTGGAGCACAGTGGCACGATCTCTGCTCACTGCAACTTCCACCTCCTGGGTTCACGCGATTCTCCTGTCTCAGCCTCCCAGGTAGCTTGGACTACAGGCGTGCAGCACCACGGCCAGCTAATTTTTGTATTTTTAGTAGAGATGGGGTTTCACAATGTTGGCCAAGATGGTCTCGATTTTTACCTCGTGATCCACCCACCTCAGCCTCCCAAAGTGCTGGGATTACAAGCGTGAGCCACCGCACCCGGCCTATATTTTTTTCATTACAAAATTATTATTACATGGTTACATGTCCATTATAGAAAGTAAAAAAGGCAAAAAAGAAAACATAAAAACTACCATCTAGAAATAATTTTGCATCTTATTTCCACTTAAAAATATATGATGAGCATCTTTCCATGTCAATAGATTTCTAAAGTGACATTTTTTTCAGGAATTCATTATGACCTACTGTATGCTAATTAATTTAATAAGTGTCTCTTTTACATTTCCATATCTAATTTAAAAGTCCAGGCCATGCACAGTGGCTCGCGCCTATAATCCCAACACTTTAAGAGGCTGAGGTGAGTGGATCACTTGAGATCAGGAGTTTGAGACCAGCCTGGGCAACGTGGTAAAACCCTGTCTCTACAAAAAATAAAAAATTAGCTGGGTGTGGTGGTGGGCGCCTATAATCCCAGCTACTTGGGATGCTGAGGCAGGAGAATTGCTTGAACCCGGGAAGTGGAGGTTGCAGTGAGCCAAGATTGCGCCACTGGACTTCAGCCTGGGCAACAGAGCAAGACTCTATTTCAAAAAAATAATAATAAAATAAAACCTGGACAGTTAGGGGCAAAGGGGAGTAGGTTGGTCACCCTGCCTGTGAGTAGCAGGTCCCAAGCAGCAACGTGCACTCACAGGCCCCCTTGTAGGCTCGGCACCCTTTGGTTTAAGTTGCTTACTTAACAAGCTCCTACTCATCTCTGAAATTTACCCCCATCCTCCCTCAAGCCAAACGAATCAAGAGGCTGACACTTCCAATACTGATGCCTCCCAAAGAAGTTTATCCCACTAAAAACAGGATCAACTGAAGCCTGGCAAGGCTTCATACTCCCAAAGGACCTGCCACGTGGTATTTGAGAACCTCTCAATTCTGAAACAGCTCTCTTTTAGCACCTGGCTTTATCTTCAGGACCATTTTTCACAAAGGCATTTAGATTTCATGATTTCACTGGAGTTCCATGTAGCCATCACTGAATCTCCATTTTCTCCAGCTGATTTTCCTGGAATGAGCTCCCCGTGGGTCTCTAGGTTTGGCATGCTCTTCCCACACATCGGTCTGCTTCTTCCCTTCCTGAAGGCCTATCAGGTCAACCCATCACATCTATAGTGCTCACCTGGTCTCCCCAGCTAGAGTGCTAACTCCATGAGGGCAGTTCCTTGCTGTGTTTATTGATTTCATGGATAAGTAGAGACCAGTCATCAACAGTCATCAGCTAAGGGGCTCATCCACCCCCTTCATTGCCCACTCACCTTGGATCTGTGCAAAACAATTGGAAACTGGGATTGTAGAACCACACATGCCAAGTGCCACCAATGAAACTATCATTTAGAAAAACTGCCATCGTTCCTTTTAATTTGGGTGTAATTGAAAAGTCATTATCATTTGCTTTTCTTTTCTTGCCTTTCCTGCTTATTTATTGTTCTAGGTGAAGTTTTTTAGTCACCAAGCTTTTTCATTCATTTTATCATCTTGGTAGCCCAAACAATGTTAGTTAAAATGGGTCTCCTAGTTGGTTTAGCAAATACTAGATACCTCTCTTTGAAGAATGGGATGCAGCACCTCCCACCAGTTTTTTTTTTTTTCTCTCTGAAAGTAGTTGACAACCCCTAGGGCAGCATAATTTCAACAATAGCAAAAACATAAATGCAAAACCACTCAGTTTCAAGTGTTTGCAAGAACTCTAAGCACCAGGAATAAGGCACAAGATGGGAATCAGAGACACCACAGTAGAATTCAGAGACACACACAGCAATCACATCCTTGTAAGTAAGTAACTCTGAACATAGCTCATTTCTACTGTGGGTCACCAAACACCAAGAAGCACTTGGAAGCATGCCTGGCAGTTGATAACTGGTAGTGACCTATCAACAGCAACATCCATTTATGTCAGAGGATGCTGGCCTCCTCATTCAACCCCTTAGGAGAATCATGATTGCTTAGCAGGTTCATGTGAAAGAGTGAGTTACAAGGTGACAGCAACTAGGTCCTATGGTTCCCAGACCTGCTTCATAGATACGGCAAAACTTTTATTTGAATTGGCTCACCCATGCATGTTTATTCCTGTCCCTGATGGTGACACTGATAGGGAAAAAAGTATTCCAGGAATGACAGTTGCAAAGTTCGCCATGCCATGGTCATGCAAGGGAACGATGCTGGTCTGAAAATTCTTTAGTAATAACATTATGAAATCAGAGAATCCCAGAACTCAAGTGTGTTCATGAAGACTAGAAAGCATAGTCCATTCCAGGGGCCAGCAAATGTTCCTGTACAAACCAGATAGTAGATAATTTAGGCTTTGCAGGCCATAAGTCTCCATTTATGTAATGAAAGGATGTGACCAAGGAGCAAGAGAGGATTCTGGGATATGTCTTAAGTTCTTCTTGGATGGCTGTGGGCCTGGAGTCCCATGAGCCAGGCTGCAGAGCACAGGAGCAGAGCCAGAGCCAAGTTTGCCTGTGAGACTCGGGGGTGGCAGGAAAAAGGTGGCTCTATTTACACCTGCTGAAATCTCACGGTCTGTGAGACCTCCAACGGTCAGGTTCAGTAAACACTTGAATCTTAGGAGAGAAGTCCTAGAAATACTTTTTATGTAGCTCTTTGTGTTACCGATGAATCATTTTTAATAAATAGACCCTTCAAAATAATAATTTCAGATGATAGCTTAAAATTGTAAAGAAATGACTCAAGAGAATTTGTTATGTTAACCTACTTGTACAAGATTAGAAGTACATCTCTAATTGCTTGTTATTTTAGAATAAATATTTTCCTTCCAAATTAATAATCTGATGAGAGATGAACCTATAATTTCAGTGATAAGAACAGAAGCCATGGCTTAAGGTGAACGTGGATTCCCAGGGCATGAACCCAAAGAAATAATTAAATAACAGCAAACAAACCAACCCTGGAGGAATTACATTTACAGTACATAAGGGAAAAAAAAATTAGGAGGCTGGGGAAGAGAGGTTGGAAGAGGTTTTATAGAGCAGAGTTGATCCAGATTGTCTAAAATTTAAACCTGTGGCTAAAAGAATATAGAGTCTTGACCCCTTTGTTGTTATTTTAATTACGTAACATTAGAGGCAACTTTTGCGAACTAATCTGAAGAAATACTTACATAATTTTAGCAGTCCAGTCCATTTCATTTGTTTTCTTTTTCTTCTAATTTCCTATGAAACAAAAATTTATATATATATTTTTTCTTTTGGAAGTCTCTCTCTGTTGCCCAGGTTGGAGTGCAGTGGCACAATCTCAGCTCACTGCAACCTCCGCCTCCTGGGTTCAAGCAATTCTCCTGTCTCAGCCTCCCGAATAGCTGGGATTACAGGTGCCCACCACCACACCCAGCTAATTTTTGTATTTTTAGTAGAGACAGGGTTTCATCATGTTGGCCAGGCTGGTCTCGAACTCCTGACCTTGTGATCCACCTGCCTCGGCCTCCCAAAGTGCTGAGATTACAGGTGTGAGCCACTGTACCCAGCCAAAAATTATTATTTAACATGAAAAAAAGAGCACCGTATAGTATGATCGCCTTTTTATAAAATAAAATCATTGTTTTTTGGGTTTCTAGCCACCATCTATCTATTCTTCCATCTGTATGCTTGGCCAACATTGATGACAGGAATGATGCTTACCAAAGGTGATACTGGCTTTTTGGATGGTGGTGAAATTTGGGGTGATTTTTCTTTTCTTCTTTATGCTTTTCCATATCACTTGAATATTTTTATCACAAGGATGCTTCATTTTCAAAGACAAAAATGAAAGTCATTACTTAAAAGAGAGAAGGCCAATAGAAATCTATCGACCGGCCTCCTTTGTGAATATGTGGTAGGGAGTTTTACTGAGGTTCGCGTGGGGAATATGGCTACGCTACAGTCTCCACTTGGGTAGTCCTTAAAGTTAGAGAAGTTGATGGTGTCCGGGGTGCCCCAGGTGTTCTGTGAGAGTTGAAGGTGCTTCTGCTGATTTGAATGTCTTCAAATGGGTCTGATTAGTGAGTGAACTATCACCAGGCGCTCCCACACCAGGTGGTGGCATGGATGGTCACTGTGCAGATCCGATGATGTACCTGAGGATATCTCAGGGCCTTTTTGATCAAACAACTCTATGAAGACTTTCAGGCCACAAAACCTCTTCAACTGCTGGATTTCCTTTCCTATGCCTTGCTACATCTCTATATTAATACTCGTTAGTTGTACTTAATTTTGCTTGTACTACATGTGCATAAGCTAAATTATTTGCAAATGGCCCAAAGAACTGAATCCCTCCACATATATTATACCTTACATGTGGATATTTTAAATGAAGAATGATAAAACCTGTTTCAACAGCATGGATGAACCTTGAAAACATTCTGCAAAGTGAAAGAAGCCAGACACAAAGGACCATGAATTTAATGTATGATTCCATTTATATGAATGGTACAGAATAGACAAAAAGTTGATTAGTGGTTACCTACAGCTGAGCAGAGGAGGGAATGGGAGTGACTGCTAATGGCCACAGGGTTTCCTTTGGGGTTGATGGCAATCTGTGAATATATTAAGAACTATTGAATTATACACTTCAATGGGTGAATTGTATGATATGTTGGATTCTATCTCAATTAAGCTGTCACCAAAAAGAAATGAATGGAAGATAGAGAAGTAAACAGCAAATATGACCTTAATTTTCTTTTTTATGAGACAGGGTCTCACTCTGTTGCCCAGGCTGGAGTGAAGTGGCACAATCACAGCTCACTATAGCCTCGACCTCCCAGGCTCAAGTGGTCCTCCAGCCTCCTAAGTAGCTGGGACTACAGCTGTGTGCCACCATGCTTGGCTAAATTTTTTTTTTTTTTTCTAGAGACAGGGTCTCACTTTGTTGCCCTGGCTGGTCTGGAACTCCTGAGCTCAGGTGATCCTCCTGCCTCGGCCTCCCAAAGTGCTGGGATTTACAGGCATGAGACACCATGCTCAGCTAACCCTAATTTTGGGGGGTACTTGTTGGTAGGCGAGATAAAAGGTGGTGGTGAGGCATTTGTTTTAAGCCTCTAGCACATTTATGACTATAGGGCGGGAGCCAGAGGTTGAAAGTACAGAGGGACAACTAAGTGCTCTAGGAGACATAGGATTGGCTCAAGGAGGACTAGCCTCAGGCAAGAAGAAAGCCAGTAGGACGCCCAAGTGCCTGTTCTCTGCTCTGCTCACTATAGCCCCTGCCATGAAAACCAGTTGTCTTTTGAATGAAATCAATCCTGCTGCCCCAGCCAGAGCAGATGAGGGCAGAGACAGTGCCTGACGCCACAACTGCCCACCAGTGATGCTCCAGGTGGAGGGGCTGCTACTGGAGAAGGATGACCCTGGGAGAAATTCTGTGGAATCCAGAGGAAAAGTGTGCCTTGGAGCAGAGCTGCAGCTGCACCCTGACAGGAATACTGTGTCCGTCCCCTCCCCTCCACTCTCTCGCCTTCCTCCACACCCCCAACAAGGCTTCGGGGACCATAGTTTTAGTTCAGTTCCACAGAATATCAGTGGTGGGTCATGAACATGGAAAAGACGCTCACATGAGGAAAGACAATCAGCAAGTCAATCAATTGCATCTTACTGACATTTCCAGTCTCGAGGATAACTATGCAAATGTATGCAACTGTGGTCTTTTGCCTTCATCACATATGTGGAAGTAACAAGTGAGCCTGGCTTCCTGTTAGAAATCAAAGTCATTTTCAGTATTCAAATAATTATCTTTAAAATAGTTTCCTAACAATTAACTCTAATAACATATGTTCAAAAGAAATAGAAATCTTGAATCTCCTAATACTCTTTCCTGGAATCAGTTGGTATTCTGGGTAAAAACAGCACCCACATGGTTGAAGTCTGAACCGCACATTTTTACCCCCTAGGCACTGAGTAAATGCACCTTAACTTTAACTCTGTTAGAGAAGAGAACACAGGATCTAGCTACGTTTTCAGATGTTCTAGAGTTTGGGTGCTGAGCTCTTCACTTTAGACAGACACTGTCACCATAGGGCCTGCACACACATCTTCACAAATGAATGAGTGGATGAAGGTAAACGGCAAAGGCCTTTCCCAACCAAAGGAAAAACACTTGATTCAGCACTTTAAGAACAATGAAATAAATTTTTCAAACCACTTTTAATGAGTGGGAAAAGAATGTGTGTATAAGTAACTGAGTGAATACATTATTTCTAGTTCAACAACGTGCTTAAACTTCCTAGGTGAAAGAGTGTTTGGACCAGACAGTAGTGGCAGATGTGTCTGGAAACAGAAAAGATCAGCAGAGAAGGAAGGAACAGGAGGGCATGGAGGCTGTGGGCCTGTCACTCAGCACTGCAGAAGTGGGGCAAGAGGATGGCAGGAAGTGAGGGATGCAGCAGGGAACAGAGCAGATGCCTCCACCAGCAACCAGGCCCCATGTCCAAGTATTCCCATTTCATCCTCACAACAATCGGATACATAGCATTTTTATTACTCCCATTTTATAGGTGAGTAGAAATGATTCCACTGAGATAAGCAATTGACACCTAGGCCATCTTATGTGGAAAGCATTTGGGAAAAAACAAAAACAAAAAACGGCAGACCTAGGTAACCAAATAGACGTGATGATGAAAATGGCCCAAGTCATGAGGATAGACATCACTGAATAAAACTAGACAGGTGGGGAGGTGGAGGCAGCACTTTGTCCTTTATGAATAAAAGCCAAACTTCTCCACATGTTTCAAGTCTCTGTAAGATCCACCGCAGTTCCCTTTCCAGGCACTTCTGTGAATTCTCCTCATGTGCTCCAGGCTCCAGCCTTTAAGAAGGCACAGCTTAATTTTTAGTAGTTTCAAATCAA
Organism: Homo sapiens; assembly: GCF_000001405.40. NCBI lineage: Eukaryota > Metazoa > Chordata > Mammalia > Primates > Hominidae > Homo > Homo sapiens. Next base: position 161,337,466 of record NC_000006.12, on the reverse strand, counting down.
GAAAAATGAGGGGCAGGGAGGAAAGAAGGGAAAAAAGTGAAAACATTATTTTGGAGACTTGTAGCCAGAAAAAATTTTAAAATTCAGTCCAAACTAGAAAACAAAGGAAACTTTAAAGCATTAGGCGAGACTAGAATCTAATAACAGGTGTACTATAGTTCATTTTGAAATATAATTTTTCTTTCTCTAGTACCCGTTTTCACTAATGACAAATAATAGGACAAATTTATGTGTAAAATAAGCGTTAGTCTTTTTATGCTTGGACTGTTTGCATAAAGTCAGCAAGAATAATTATTTGCCACATAGTCTCTTTTATTTTTTTAATTGGCTTTGCTGGAACTTTGTTCATAGGGAATCTCAGATTACACTTCCAAGACTTGAGCCCAGCCACAGATTTATCTGTGCCTGCAAATACCTGTATTAATTGGGTGAACTCCTCACCAAGTTCCCAAGATAATTTGGGGCTCCTGGGCCTGTCAGAAAGTGACATTCTTCACTTACCACAGGTCAGAAACCTGTACAAGAACTGGGTAGACAAGGTAGGAGGCCAGCTTTCCAAAGGGGCTTTTATTGGCTTTCTAAGTCAACTCTGATCCCTTAAAGCAGTTTCTTTATATCTGAAAGTATGCAACTCCAGTCAAAGACTTGGTTAAATTACCATTGTCCTCAACTGTATCCTGTTACAAAAGAAAACAGATTATTATTGAATTATGCAAATAATTATACTGATACAAATTAAGTATGCTTGCAAATAGCTTTCAAATTTGGAGGAATTAGGTAGAAAGAAATATGCTTTAGATTTTGCTCACGGGAGTGTAGTTAACCCAATTGTTAAAAGCTGTAAATAGTTCAAAGGGGTTTTCTGGACTCAGAAACAAGAGTTAGTAATGTTTCAAAACAAGTCAAAAAAAGATTATTTCAGTTTTCCATTAGTTTAGTCTACATAGTTAACTCTTGTTCTGTTCAATGTTTTTGAATACATTACCTGTCTATGAGAGTCTTGGAAGTTTTTCCTCTATTCTAGTGTCACAGTCTCCAAAGTTATTAAACACCTGCCTTCGAGAGCACCTGTCAGAGTCCTGTAGCTGATTATAAAACCACCTTTTGAAAAGGATATGAGTACAACAACTGTGGATAACAAAAGTTTTAAAACAGTCTTTTAAACACAACTGACAAGGAAATTTGGTTACTTCTATGGCATATAACAATTTTACATAATGATAGTTACTACTGATAATATATACTAGGACATATCAGAATCACAACAATCTCATACAATTCTGAAACACATACTAATAACACACTCATATAAATATAATCCAAAGAAGGTTAAATGCCATTTCATATTTGACAATAGTTCCTGTATGATTTTATTATATCAAATAACTTGAATATGTCTCTTTTGGACTTCAGGGGATCTAATATCAAAAGATTAATGAGGACCAAAGTTTGAATCTGATTTGCGAAAGTTTGTCAAACATAAAAAGTTTCAGCCGGGCACAGTGGCTCACACCTGTAATCCCAGCACTTTGAGAGGCTGAGATGGGCAGATCACGAGGTCAGGAGTTCGAGACCAACCTGACCAGCATGGTGAAACCCCCGTCTCTACTAAAAATACAAAAATTAGCTGGGCATGGTGGCACACGCCTCTAATCCCAGCTACTCAGGAAGCACAGGTTGCAGTGAGCCAAGATCGCACCACTGCACTCCAGCCTGGGCAACAGAGCAAGACTCCATCTCAAAAAACAAAACAAAGCAACAACAACAACAAAAAGCCAGGCGCAGCAGCTCACGCCTGTAATCCTAGCACTTTGGGAGGCCAAGGCAGGCAGATCACCTGAGGTCGGGAGTTCAAGACCAGCCTGACCAATATGGAGAAACCCCGTCTCTACTAAAAATAGAAAATTAGCCAGGCATGGTGGTGCATGCCTGTAATCCCAGCTACTTGGGAGGCTGAGGCAGGAGAATTGCTTGAATCCGGGAGGTGGAGGTTGCGGTGAGCCGAGATCGCACCATTGCACTCCAGCCTAGGCAACAAGAGTGAAACTCCATCTCAAAAAAAAAAAATGCTTAAAACAGTTCACATCACAAAATAGGATCACAGGTCACTGTAAAATAAGTCATTCATTTAGCCAAAGTAATAACTCAAAGATTTGTTAAAAAAACCTTAATTTTTTGAGAGAGGAGACTTAATTTCCCAAACAATAAGCCTTAATAAAGATAGCATGAGGCCAATTAAAATGTATCTCAAAATTTTATAAACAAATTTATTAAATTTTAATTATCTTGACTGTAAGATATAATTTCTATAAATTTTTAATAAACTTTACAATGTTTTTATTAAGGAGTGGGTGAATGCTTCTGGAAAACCTTGTTAATCTGCCACTGGGCCCAGATGCTGGTCTCGTATCAGTGTGTCTCCAATATTAATGGTTAATTTACAGAGAAACTGAACTAATTTTCTCTCTCAAATTTGGCACTTCCAATCTCAGGTACCCACTTCTTCCACAGCAGTTCCTGGAATTGAATAGTTATAACCTCTGTCCCTGTGTCTTATGAACAGTTTATTTTGCTTGGCATCTTCTACTAGGTCTGAAGACGAGGCTTTAACTGCTTTCAGTGTTCATGATTTAGCAGGACTTGATGTCCTTTTTAGACCCAGGAGTCAAAGCCCTGTAACTTAATGGCACAAGGACTTTAAAAGCAAAAAACAGAAAGTTACATGGATGTAACAAACTTAAGTTTAAAAAAACCTCAGTTTTTTTTTCTAAGCAAAATCAGAACTAAATAACAATGGCGTAGCCATTATTTCAGTAAAACATAAAATGTGTTTGTTAGGCCAGTTACCAAAAGGCAAAGAGAAGACCTTCTGCAGTGCGATTGTTGTTCCCTCTGGGGAATCCATTTAGGTAACCTGCCAAGTCAAAACTAATGAAAAGAGTACTTCAATTAGTTAGACATAAGAAGAGTGTTTCCTGGGTAATAAGTGCAAATTTTCAGACTCATAGAACAATTTAAAGCCAGAAGCACAGAATGTTATGTTGGAAGAAAACATTTCCTTTTGAACTTTAAGATAAAACATTTTTAGCATCAAACTATAACAAATAGTTAGAACCCGAGGAAAAAAAATTCCAGGAGCTGATAATGAGTTGAAGGAGAGAGTTATTATCTCAGGGCTTTTCAAAGGGAAGGGAAAACTGAAAACAGCAAGACACAATAAGAGTTGAACTTTGGGTTTAAAATAAAAAGAAATCTCTTGTAATTTTATTAAGAGTCAATCTGTACATTTAAAAATGTCATTGTTCTAACCAATTATTGAGTGTATAAGTGTATTTTTGTATCAAACCCAATCTCTAGAAACGCTATTATAAATAATTTCCCTTTAATTATAGAAAACTCGATACAAGTCATTTATACATGCTTGGGCTTCCTGTTTCATTCTAGACATCCCTCTTTCTTAAATAACCAGTCACTTCCTGCCAGCAGAAAATAGTAGAAAGAAATAATAAAGAAAAAAGACAACAAAAAAGAAAAAAAAGAAAATGAAATAACTAGTCATTTTATTTTAGAACAAAATTTTGCCATACAAGATTTTTTCGCATACAAAATTATTTTCCTTTTAACCTTTCTTGCCAAAAAAAAAAAAAAAAAACCTCTTTACATTTGTAACTTTCTTTATATTGCTCTTATTTACTGGTTACTTTGTACCTTGTCTCATAAATAACTTTTTCTTTCGAGAGCTCTGTCGCCTAGGCTGGAGTACAGTGGTGCGATCTCAGTTCACTGCAACCTCTGCCTTCTAGGTTCAAGAGATTCCCCTCCCTCAGCCTCCCACGTAGCTGGGATTACAGGCCTGCCCCACCCACGTAAATTTTGTCTTTTTAGTAGAGACGGGTTTTCACCATGTTGGCCAGGCTGTTCTTGAACTCCTGATCTCAAGTGATCAACCTGCCTCAGCCTCCTGAAGTACTGGGATTACAGGCGTGAGAAACCGTGCTTGGCCATCATAAATAAATTTTAAATAATCTCTGAATTAGATAAAAATTATTCTCATTTAATAACACATTTAGAAAAATGTTTTCCTATAATTTTTTAAAAATTGGAAGTTAGACATTTAATTAGACTCTATTATTTAACTTAATGTAACTTTAGATTTTAAACTATGTGACAAGTTTACAGACATTTATGCCATTACATTTACCTAATTAATTTTTTAAAATAGTTTACCCAGGTTACTTATGAAAACTGCAATAGTTATAATTTAAAGTTATTTCCCCATTAACTATTTTTATAGCCTGTGAATTTAAGGTTTTCCTAAGAAAATCTTAAGGTTACATAAATGAGGTGTTTTTTTTTTTCTGTTTTGCCAGTAACTCAGGATTTAGCTGTTTTCATTAAACAGAGTTAAATGTCTTACTTGTTAAATTGTACACAAAGATAATTCTCTTTCAGGCTGTGTTCATAGTTTTATAACCTCCTGCCAAATTTTGACACCTAGCAGAGATAAATATAAAAATATTTGACCAAGGCCGAGCGTGGTGGCTCACGCCTGTAATCCTAGCACTTTGGGAGGCTGAGGCGGGCGGATCACCTGAGGTTGAGAGTTCGAGACCAGCCTGACCAACATGGAGAAACCCTGTCTCTACTAAAAATACAAAATTAGCTGGCATATGCCTGTAATCCCAGCTACTCAGGAGGCTGAGGCAGGAGAATCGCTTGAACCTGGGAGGCGGAGGTTGCGGTGAGCTGAGATTGCACCATTGCACTCCAGCGTGGTAACATGAGCATAAACTCCGTCTCAAAAAAAAAAAAAAAATACTTGACCAGTAAATTTAAACCATAATGTATATTGACAATTTTGAAGCCATTTCCAATTCTATTTCACCAATATTTTAAAAATCAGCTTATCTATTAAAGATTGACTCAAGTCACATGAACTTGAAAAAGCCTTTGTTAAAGTCTCCATTTCTTCTGATAAGGTATTCGATATAAGTGCTTTTTTTTCTTCTTTAAGCCAGTTGATTAGAGCTCTTTTATGTCTTTTTAGTAGTGAAATCTCATATACACGACACATAAATACATAGACGTATTAGACATGCAGATAAAAGTAGATCTTATACATTCATAAGCCCTCTTATTTTTTCCTCCTATTTTAGATTTCCAATTTCTTGATAACCTGTGTTAGAAATGTTTGTTCTTCGGTGCTATAAAGAAATAGCACTTGAACATAAATTTAATTTCTTCAGCAAGGCCATTTTTTTTACTTTGTGCAGAAAGGGTACACTCGCCAGCAGTTTTGCCACAAGAGTACACCGAACAAAGGAGACAGGGTCATTTATAACCTGACATGTCCACCTTACTGCTGTGCCTGGTTTCCATCAGCTGGAACGGGACCTCACATTCTGTATTTGTCCTGATTGGCTAGCAACTTACAACTTTTTAAAAGAGGCAAAGGCAGAGGAGAACAAAGGAAGGAGGAAGTAACTTGTGGAATGCTGAGAAAGGTAAAAACACCTTCAAATATGGAAGAGGAACAGGCTATGACTTAATGCTTGCTTGGACCAGTATAAGCGTGCCAGGGCAAATACTTAGGCTAAATTGTGGGAGCTAAGAACATAAAGTACATTGATTTCCTTATTACGGCTAACAGATACTTAAGAATGTTAGCACAGGCCTTTGAATAAATTTTGCTTCTAAGAGAAGTTACTATTTATTCTTAATTAGATGGGGAGGAAAGCCTTTGAAGAGGAACCTCTACTTTACTTTTTACACCTGTTTTATTATCCTAGCCAGTTGTCAGCCAGGTAGCCCTAAGTTTGCATATTAAGGAAACAGCTCCTGGGGGAAAAATCAGATATCAAAGTTTACATCTCAAAGTACAGAGGGAAAGAGTCTGATGTGCTAGAGGGAGATTAAGAACGGATGCCAAATCAAACATGAAACTATAGAAATCTATCATAGGATTGTATAAGGAGACCAATTTTATTTAGATAGGTAGTTCTAAATTTAGTCTCTAGCTTTTAACTGGATCTCTGAGCTCTGGGCAGAGCCCACACTGAATCCTGTGTCTCCCAAAACATATAATTTTTTGAGACTAGAACACATGATGCTTTTACAGTGTACCTATTTTTTAATAAAGACATTTCTCTAAGTGTCTAAACTACACTCTTCCTTAAGTAAAACACCCAAGAGTAGACTCTGCTGAAGTAACTATTTTAGTCAGAAAAAAAAAAAAAAAACATCAGGTAACACAATACAAAAGCAAGGAATTTAAGATATAGGATGAACTTGTCTGTTTACACTTTTAGGGTTCCAAAATAAAAAACAGAGGTTTCACCCCAAAGGGGAGTCTGACACCTTCTCTGCTTTCTTTAAGGAATCACAGGCTGTTAGAAAATGTTTTAGGTCTCTCATGTAGCAACGTGTCAAGAGCAAGGAGAGGCAGCAAAAGTTAACGTAGAAAACAGATTTCGGTCAACTGAGAAGAAAGAAAGAAAAAAAACTTTTCTTATAAAAACAAGGTTCTACGAGAGGAAAAAAAGATCTTTTAAATAAACACACACACACACACACACACACACACACACACACACACACACACACACACACACACACTGGATATTAGCTTTTAATTAAGCTGACTTTTAACCACTGAGCTCCTTAGAACAAATTTTTAAAATCTTATTACCATATTTTAGCTGGGCCAAATTGCTGATATTTCAAAAGTAGCACAAATATCAAACCGAAAAGGACTTGATTTAGGAACCAAACCCAGGCTGTAGTAGTGGAAAAAAAGGGCAGAACTAAGCTATTGAACTGCAGTGGGGCAACAGCCATTGCTCTCTTTCAGTGTGGCTTGGCTAGCAAAAACGTGGCCTTGTTATGGAAATAAAGCCCCTAGGGCAGTCAAAATCAAAAATCGTTCCCTTTTTTTCCCTTTTGCTGGCCATTTTTTTCTTTTTCCTTTTTTTTTTCCAGCTGCAGGAATGTAGCCAATTCAGAGGACTTGTTCCCCATAATTTGAAACTTTTCTTTGGATTTGATCAAGTTGGATGGAGTTGGTCAAACCCAATGGGAAAAAGACCAAAACAACAACAAAACAGAAACAAATAAACAACAACAACAAAAGAGTTAAGCAAAACAAACAATTGCACAATTTATACGATTACTGAGCGCTCTAATGGTAAGGCGTAATTAATACTAGCTGGTTGTGAATCTTGACTTTAGTGATTAAGAAGAATTTCCAAGACAAAAAAAAAAAGAACAATTCAGCTACTTACCTAGGAATGGGTCCCAGGTTGAAGACTGCTCTCTACCATCCTAGAAACAGGAGAAAAACTCAAACTTGCCTTGCCTGTTGGAAGTGAGCTGCAAGTCCAGAAAAGAGTTGCCTGCCTTCCATCATCATGAAGCAGGAAAACTTGCCTTCATTGTTGGAAGCAAGCAAAACTCCACAAAAGTACTTGCATAGCAAAAAAAAACTTCAGAACTTGACCAAATTTTGAGAGAACAGTGATACCCTGGAGGGAGGGGGTGCCTAGGCCTCAGCAAATTTTCCTGTTGGTTTGAGCCATAGGGATAGCTCAAGCTGGTACCAAGCAACAACAGATTTGTCAAAGGTCAGGGGCCCTTCCACTCACAATCCCTTCATGATTACCAATTTGTGAACCCAAAGTATCCAAGACAGGTCTCAATCAATTTAGAAAGTTTATTTTGCCAAGGTTAAGGATGTACCTGTGACAAAACTCAGGAAGTCCTACATTGGTGCTTCTGAAATAGCAGCAATTTGTCCCAGCTGAAATATAGTAATGAGATTTAAAAATATTTTTTTAAAAGAAGCTCAATGGTTAAAAATCAGCTTAATTAAAAGCTAACATCCAAGATGTGTGTGTGTGTGTATGTGTGTGTGTATGTGTGTGTTTGTATTTAAAAGGCCTTCATGTTTTTGTTTTTCTTTTTTCTCTCCTGGGACTATGTCCTTTTTTTTTTTTCTTTCTTTCTTAGGATGGAGTCTCACTCCGTTGCGCAGGCTGGAGTACAGTGGCACGATCTCAGCTCAATGCAACCTCTGCTTCCTGGGTTCAAGCAATTCTCCTGCCTCAGCCTCCTGAGTAGCTGGGATTACAGGCACATGCCACCACGCCTGGCTAAGTTTTGTATTTTTAGTAGAGGCAGGGTTTCACCATGTTGGTAAGGCTGGCCTTGAACTCCTGACCTCGTTATCCACCCGTCTCAGCCTCCCAAAGTGCTGGGATTACACTTAAAAAAAAATTTTTTTAAGTGCACTGTAAAAACATCACAGAGTCTAACCTCAAAATAATTCTCCCTTTTTGGAAACCCAGGATTCAGCATAGGCTCTGCCCAGAGCCCAGAGATCCAGTTAAAAGATAGGAAGTCCCTATCTAAATAAAATTGGTCTTCTCATGCAATCCTGTGATACATTTCTATAATTTTATGTTTGATTTAGCATCCACCTTTAATCTCCCTCTAACACCACCAGGCTTTTTCTCTTTGTACCTTATGTAAATTTTGCTATTTGATTTTTACCTGAGTTGTTTCCTTTAATATGCAAATTTCAGGCTATTTAGCTGACAACTGCCTAAGGTTGTGAAACAGGTTATCAAGAACCTGGAAGTTTAAGATAGGAAAAAATGGGGGGGTCTTTATGAATCTGTAAGATGTACACCTATATTTATGTGTGGTGTACACAATGTTTCACTACTGAAAATATATAAAAGAGCTCTAATTAATTGGCTTAAAGAAAAATAAAGGCATTTAAATACTGTATCAGAAAAGGGAAAGACTAGTCAAATGCTTTTTCAAGTTTATGTGACTTAAGTAAAATATTTAATAAATAAGCTAGCTTTAAAATTATTGGTAAAGTAATATTAGAAACGTCTTAAGAATTACCAGTATACATTTCTGTTTGCATTTATTAATCAAGCAATTTCATACTTATCCCTCCCAAATACTGTCAGGGATACTGTGTCAAAACTTGGCACAGGGGTTACAAAACTATAAACCCAGCACAAGACAGAATGATCCTTGTTTGTGTTACTTTTAATAAATAAAACATTAATATTGGTTTAAAAAATAGCTACATCTTGAATTATTTAGTAAAATTACCATAACGTCAATCTTGTGGCTTTAAGCAGTCTAGTCCACAGGCAGTAAGGAGGTTTGTTTTGGAAAAGGAGTGTTACTGTCTTTGTTTGATAGCTAAACTATAAACTAAGTTCCTCCCAAAGTCCAGGAATGAACAAGGACAGCTTGGAGGTTAGAAGCAAGATGGAGTCAGTTAGGTCATATCTTTTTCACTGTCTCAGTTATAATTTTACAATGGTGGTTTCATAACTTTAAATCATGACTATCACAGTTTTCATAAATAATCTAGGAAAACAATTAAAATAAAATAATTAGGTAAATGTAATGGGATAAATACTTGTAGACAAACTCGTCATAATTTAGAATCTAAAGTTATATTAGGCTGGGCAACGTGGCTCACACCTGTAATCCCAGCACTTTGGGAGGCCGAGGTGAATGGATCACTTGAGGTCAGGAGTTCGAGACCAGCCTGGCCAACAAGGCAAAACAAATCTCTACTAAAAATACCAAAGTTAGCCAGGCATGGTGGTGCACACCTGTAGTCCCAGCTACTTGGAAGTTGAGGCATGAGAATTGCTTGAACGCAGGAGGCAGAGATTGCAGTTAGCTGAGATCGTGCCACTGCACTCCAGCCTGGGTGACAGAGTAAGTATCCATCTCAAAAAAAAAGAAAGAAAGCTTAAAGAGGAATAATTTCATATAAGAAAGAATCTTGTATGGTAAATTTAGTCTAAAATAAAATGACTTGTTTTTTAAGAAAGAGGGATGTTCAGGACAAACAAGAAAGTCCAGGCATGTCATGAATGGTCTGTGTAAGTCACAATAAGAGGATTTATTTAAAAAAAATAACTTTTATGTGATCAAATTGTTTATAATCAAAGGGAAATTATAATGATCTTCCTAGAGACTGGGCTTGATGTAAAAAAAAAACCACTTATACCCTAAATTATTGGTTAGAACAATGAGGTTTTCTTAAGGGTTGATTTACTCTTAATAAATTACAAGAGATTTTAATTTTTTTTAACCAAAAGTTCAACTTTTATTGCATCCCAGGTTTTTCGGCTTTCTCTCCCCTTTTAAAGGGCATGTTTTCTTAAAGGTCTAAAGGAAATGTTTTCTTCCAACATAGTATTCTGTATACTACAGAAGTTTTTTCTTTTGCCTTTTGGTAACTGGCCTAACAGATTTTATGTTTTATCAAAATAACTTCTATGCTATTATTATTAAGTTTGGTTTGCTTAGGAAAAAACTGAGACTGAAATTTTTTTAAATTAAGGTTATTACATCTGTGTGCCTTTCTGTATGTGCTTTTAAAGTACTCGTGACATTAAGTTACAGGGCTTTGCCTCCTGGGTCTATAAAGGACACCAAGTCCTGCTAAATCTTAAACACTGACAGCAATTAAAGCTTCATCTTTATTTACTTATTTATTTATTTATTTTTGAGACAGAGTTTCACTCTTGTTGCCCAGGCTGGCGTGCAATGGTGCCAGCTTGGCTCACTGCGACCTCCACCTCCCACATTCAAGCGATTCTCCTGCCTCAGCCTCCTGAGTAGCTGGGATTACAGGCATGTGCCACCATGCCTGGCTACTTTTGAATTTTTAGTAGAGATGGGGTTTCTCCATGTTGGTCAGGCTGGTCTTGAACTCCCAAACTCAGGTGATCCGCCCGCCTTGGCCTCCCAAAGAGCTGGGATTACAGGTGTGAGCCACCGTGCCTGGTCAAAGTTTCATCTTTATTGATTGGCATCATAGATGATGCCAATCAAAATAAACTGCATTCCTGAGATACAGGGCCAGAAATTAAAGCCATTCAATTCCTCAAGGCCCAGGGACTATCATGGAAGAGGTGGGCATGTGAGATTATAAGGGCCAATTTTAAGAGAGAAAATAAGTTGTTTCTCTGTAAATTAATCATTAATGTCAAAGGCACACTGATGCAAGACTAGCATATGGACTCCTGTGTCAGATTAACAAGGTTTTCTTGAAACATTAACCAGTTCCTTAATAAAGGTTATAAAGATTATAAAAGGCTTATGGAAGTTTATGTTATGATCAAGATTAAAATGTTACCGGTTGTTTACAAAATTTTGAAAAACAAATTTAATTATTGAAAAGGCTATTCAGAAACTCAAAAGCATGTGACCATTTGTCTCTCACCTACCTGTGACTTGGAATCCCCCTCCTTGCTTTGAGTCTTCCTGCCTTTGCTTTGAGTTGTCCCTCCTTTCCAGACCAAACCAATGTACTTCTTACATTTATTGATTGATGGCTCATGTCTCGCTAAAATGTATAAAACCAAGATGTGCCTCGACCACCTTGGGGACATGTCGTCAGGATGTCCTGAGGCTGTGTCATGGGCATGTGTCCTCAACCTTACCAAAATAAACTTTCAAAATTAACTGAGAACTGTCTCAGATTTTCTGGGTCCACACTCTGATTAGTCCAACCTGGGATCACACAATCACAGCCATAAACTTGTGTCTCAGCCCTGCTTGGGTCTCAGCCCATGTTTTGCCCCCAAACATGGGTGTGTTCAAAGGACTGGGGCAGCAGGGTGGTCCTTCCTGGGCCAGCAGTGAGAGTGCTCCACCTGTCCAGCCATCATCACTACAGACATCTGGAAAAATCTCAGGTACCTGCCCCAAATAGTGCTTCACATGGGACAGTCTCCCTTCTCACCTGCACCCCAGATTCAGGTCAGAGTGCCATGAACTCTTTGCAAAAAGACAGCTATGCAAAAAGCCCCCTGCAAATTCACAAATCTATAAAAATCCATGCAGACTCCTCATTGGCACATTTGTTCCGTGAATCCAAACTTACTTTGCTTCCTCTGACACAGGGTTTCTCAAGCTCAGCAGTGTTGACATTTGAGCTGGAGAATTCTTTCCTGTGGGGCTGCCCTGTCCACTGTAGGATGTTTAGTGGCATCTCTGGCTCCTACCCACTGGATGCCAGTAGCACCCTCATTGTCACCCCCAATTGTGAGAACCAAAATTGTCTCTAGACATTACCAAATGTCCCCTGGGGGCAAAATCACCTCCCCATTGTGAATGTGATGCCCTACACTATTTCTACAACATTGTATGTTTAGATTTATTTCATGTCTTCCTTTCAAATTCCCCATATGTATTCACCAGGGCACTTTTTGACCTAAATTTCTTGGCTGCAGACTGTTTTCTCATCTGGCTGAAATCATCTGGTAACAGCAGTGTAATTCCTCTGGGAAGATGTACTGGGCATGACCATTTTTGGAGAAAGCCCAGGTTATTCTGGTAGTGAATTGTAAACTGCTCTTTTAGCCACAGGAGAATTGGCCTCAGAGCAGAGGTAAAACATAAAATTAAGGCAATTCAGGAAAATCTTTCCACAGGCTGTACTTTGCCTGTGGATAAATAAGGACTATATAGGAGTATCCCGGGCTCCTTCCCCTACCTGCCAAGAGGGCTGGAATTCACTTACAATCAAAGCTCAAGTCTCCAGAAGCAAAGTAACAGAACCTGGGTTTCTGCTTCCCCTGGAAAGTTTTCAGTTTCCCAGCTCCACTGAAGACTTTCTAATTGTCGAGATTTTCTGCAAATTAAAAAAGACTGTGTGAATTATTTGTATAAATAAAAATGCACTGTGGCATATTTTAGTGTTTCTATTTATCAAATCACTTTCCCAGGTACAAAATGATGTCAAGTGCAAAATTCATCCACAGGACCTCTTATCACACATTATTTTCACAATACCAAGTAGAGTCTACTGTCTATTATTTCAAAGTGCTTCTCATTTTACATACTTGGCAGATACCTACATATAGTAATGTCATTTTCTATTGTCACCACTACTTTTTTATTTTATTATTATTATTATTATTATTATTATTATTTTTTTTTTTTTGAGGAGTTTTGCTCTTGTTGCCCAGGCTAGAGTGCAGTGGTGCAATCTCAGCTCACTGCAACCTCCACGTCCCAGGTTCAAGTGATTCTCCTGCCTCAGCCTCCCAAGTAGCTGGGATTACAGGCATGCGCCACCATGCCCGGCTGACTTTGTATTTTTAGTAGAGAGGGGGTTTCTCCATGTTGGTCAAGCTGGTCTTCAACTCCCGACCTCAGGTGATCTGCCTGCCTTGGCCTCCCAAAGTGCAGGGATTATAGGTGTGAGCTACCGCGCCTGGCTAATACCACTTCTTTTTTTTTTTTTTTCTTTTTTTTTTTTGAGATGGGGTCTCGCTCTGTCGCCCAGGCTGGAGCGCAGTGGCGTGATCTTGGCTCACTGCAAACTCCGCCTCCCAGGTTCACGCCATTCTCCTGCCTCAGCCTCCCAAGTAGCTGAGACTACAGGCGCCCGCCACCTTGCCCAGCTAATTTTTTGGTACTTTTTTAGTAGAGACGGGGTTTCACTGTGTTAGCCAGGATGGTCTCAATCTCCTGACCTCGTGATCCACCCACCTAGGCCTCCCAAAGTGCTGGGATAACAGTCCTGAGCCATCGCACCTGGCCGCCAGTACCACTTCTTAACTAGCTGTGTCTTCCATTCCATTTTGGATGTTGAGCTAAAAACCTCAATTTGCTGAAGTAAGCAATGGCTTTTCTTTGGACATAAGCCAGAACTTGCCTACTAGATGTTTTGGGTTGGTGATCAAGAGATGATTAGTCGGGTGGAATTTTACCATTCGTGCTTTTTTGTTGTTTTTAAAATTTTTTATTGATACACATATTTATACATATTTATGGGGTAGAAGTGATATTTTATTACATGCAGAGACTGTATAATAATCAAGTCAAGGTGTTTGTGGTGTTCATCACCTCAACAATTTCTCATCACTTTGTGTTAGGATCATGTAAAGTCCTCTCTTCTAGTTATTTGGAATATATACTTTGAAATATGCGATACATTTTTGTTAACTATAGTCACCCTACTCTGCAATGGAACATTAGAACTTATTCCCTTTATCTAATTGCATGTTTGTACCTGTTAATGAATCTCTCTTCGTGCCCCCTCCCCAACACACATTTTTCCTAGCCTCTGGGAACCATCATTCTATTCTCTACCTTTATGACATCAACATTTTTAGCTCCCATATATGTGTGAAAACATGTGATATTTGTCCTTCTGTGTTTACCTTAACATAATAATCTCCAGTTCCAACCATGTTGCTGCAAATGACAGAATTTCATTCTTTTTTATGGCTGAGTAATATTCCATTGTGTATCAGTACCACATTTTCTTTGTCCATTCATTCACTGATGGACACTTAGATGGATTCTGTATCTGGGCTATTGTGAATAGTGCTGCAATAAATATGTGAGTACAGGTATTCCTTTGAAATACTGATTTATTTTCCTTTGGATAAATATTCAGTAGAGAGATTGCTGGATCATATGGTAGTTCTACTTCTAGTTTTTCGAGAAATATCCATACTGTTTTCCATAGAAGATGTACTAATTTACATCCTCTCCAACAGTGTATAAGAGTTCCCTTTTCTCTGCATCCTCCCGAGCATCTGTTATTTTTTATCTTTCTAATAATAGCCATTCTGGCCAGGCATGGTGGCTCACCCCTGTAATCCCAGAACTTTGGGAGGCTGAGGTGGGTGAGCCCAGGAAGTCAAGACCAGCCTATGCAACATGGTGAAACCCTGGCTCTACAAAAACAAACGAACAAAACAAAACCACTGAAATACAGTGGATGAGACACATGATCCACAGAATCCCAGGTCAGACATGAAGGTTATACACCACCAGACTGGCTCTCCATTAGTGGGCATTTCAGAGTCTCTAGGTTAGATGAGAAACATTCTAGATTTTCCACTTCAAAAAAGATGATTGCTCACAAATAGAATGAGTGCTAGCATTTTTGTCCCTCTAGAAACCTTTTTAAAATGTTCACAAGCATTGGGTATTCTGTAATTTTGACTTCACATAAAATTAGTACAGTGATACAGACTTTGTTTTCAAATATGAGGTAGACTTTTAAATTTTGTTTTATTTATTTACTTCTATTTTCATTTTTCTGAGACAGGGTCTCACTCTGTCACTCAGGCTGGAGTGCAGTGGCACCATCATGGCTTACTGCACCCTTGACCTCCTGGGCTCAAGTGATCCTCCCACCACAGCCTCCTGAGTAGCTGGGACAAATGTGCATCAACACACCTGGCTAATTTTGTTAAAATGTTTTGTAGAGATGGGGTTTTCACCATGTTGCCCAGGCTGGTCTCAAACCTCTGGGCTCAAGTGATTCACCCGCCTTGGCCTCCCAATGTGCTGAGATTACAGACGTGAGCCACTGTGCCTGGGTGCATCCATTTTACCAGGGGCATTTGGGGCACTCCGTTTCTACTCCTATAACTCAAATGAGTTTATTTTTAAGCATCACTTTTATCCTTGGTTTTTATATATTATACATATATTTAAGAAAGTTTTTGCCAGGCGCAGTGGCTCATGCCTGTAATCCCAGCACTTTGGGAGGCCGAGGCGGGTGGATCACCTGAGATCAGGAGTTCAAGACCAGCCTGGCTAACATAGTGAAACCCCATCTCTACTAAAACTACAAAACTTAGCTGGGTGTGGTGGTGGGCACCTGTAATCCCAGCTACTCAGGAGGCTGAAGCAGGAGAATCACTTGAACCCAGGAGGCGGAGGTTGCGGTGAGCTGAGATCGCGCCACTGCACTCCAGCCTGGGCAACGGAGCAAGCCTCCATATCAAAAAAAAGAAAAAGAAAAAGAAAAAGAAAAAGTTTTAACTCTCCATAGAATCATCTCCCGTGCCCAGCCTGAGGTAGTTAAGCCAGAAAGTAACATGGAAATTTGCAAGATGCAAACAAACATTAAAAGAGAATCTATAGAAAATAAATATAGAAAATAGGATATATTTTTCTGAGAGAAAAATTATTACTAATATGTTCATTCTTGCTACCAATTTGGTGTTTAATAAATGTGTCTTGAATGAATGTATGGGTAAAAACTAGATTTTTTTCTGAATATGAAAATAAATACCTATATACCTTGTTGTATATAGGTATACAAGCACCTGTATGTCTTGGTCTTCTATCTTTGAGGCTCATTCTAATTTAAGCAGGCCAGGAATAGAATTAAATGCATGGACTGGAAGGCCTAATTCCCAAACTAAATAGAAGTAACTGGACAAGGAAACAGATTTTTGCTTTGATTTGAGGAAAGAGGCATTAAGACCTAGCCTTATATATTTGTGTGTGTGTGTATGTGTATGTGTGTGTAAACATATATATATATATTTTTTTCTTACAGAGAAGTCTGCATGTACCTTTTTGAGTGACTCCCTTGTTTAAAACAACAATATCTGATTAGAGTTAATAATACTAATTGCAATTGTTTATTAAGCACTTATGTGCCAGGCACCATGTAAGAATTTCATACATATGATCTAATTTCGCTTTTCTCTTTCAGCCCTCTGAAAGAGTTGACTTCATCTAGCATACGAAGACATAGATTCTTTTTTTTCTTTTTTTTTGAGACGGAGTCTTGCTCTGTTGCCCAGGCTGGAGTGCAGTGGCATGATCTTGGCTCACTGCAAGCTCTGCCTCCTGGGTTCACGCCATTCTCCTGCCTCAGCCTCCTGAGGAGCTGGGACCACAGGCGCCTGCCACCATGCCAGGCTAATTTTTTGTAGTTTTAGTAGAGACAGGGTTTCACCGTGTTAGCCAGGATGGTCTCCATCTCCTGACCTAGTGATCCGCCCGCCTCGGCCTCCCAAA
This sequence comes from Homo sapiens, assembly GCF_000001405.40. Taxonomy (NCBI): domain Eukaryota; kingdom Metazoa; phylum Chordata; class Mammalia; order Primates; family Hominidae; genus Homo; species Homo sapiens. The sequence goes on along the minus strand of NC_000006.12, from coordinate 161,320,639 downwards.
GTGCTGGGATTGCAGGCGTGAGCCACCGTGCCCGGCAGAAATAGATTCTTGAAGAAGTTAACTTACTAAAGTTTGCCCAGCTAGAAAGTAGTCTAACCTTACTTTGTTGGAGTCCAGGGTTTAGGATCTTAACTGCTTCTCTGCACAGTACTTTCTTTAGGGACAGGAGTTGTCAAAGCAAAGATTTTTTTTTTCACCTGCATCATTAGCCTCAAAGTGAGTGCATCACCACCAGGTGGAGAAGACTATCCTACAAGGATTATTTTCTCACTCAATCCACCAAGTTCAGTCAGTTGGTTTTAATTCAAACTGTAAAAAATATGCCAGAATCAAACATTCTGTCTTCCCACAGGTGTGTGAAAGCAAACAGGTGGCGTCACTGGAAGACATTGGTGACTAGGTGAAATGTCATCCAAGACAATGTTTCATGAAGACAATGTTTCATAAAGACACCGGCTGATTTTGCCAACAATTTCACTTTCCTAACTCTTATCTGATGTCACTATCCTCCCTTCACAGTGGGAATAATACAATGCTTTTTTCATCCAGGGAGGTGGCAGTTTTACTGGTTGTCATTTTATTTATCAAATATGCTGATTGTTCTAACTAATATCTTATAAGCTTCTTTTAAGAAATCTATTACTCAATTTAAAAGATACAGGATAGAATAATGCAATTTATAAAATAACCAAAACATGTCCTTAAATTCCACTATTGTAATAGTAACCATGCTTCTTAAACAATAGTTACTAGTATTCTTATTATCAATGTCTTTTATTTTATCCTGTAGGAAATTATTCACTTGTACAAATAAAATAGAACTACTTGGGATTTTTAAAAATGATCCTTCCCTCCTTCATTTTGGGTAATATTTGAAGAACCACTGTTCAGGAGAAAATACCATTAATTTAGACCAAGAAATGTCCACAAGATTCATGTGGACAAAGGAAACACATAATAAAGAAAACCTAGAGTTTGCAAAACAAATAGAACTTGATAACTGTGGTACCTCTGCCCTGAGCTTCCAGTCTCCTTCCCCCTAACTTTATGAGCAGTGAAAACTTCATATCAAATGTACCCTGGAAGACGTTTTCCAGGAAAAGAAAGCAACCCCCTTGACTAGACAATGAGCAGTTGTCAAGCTGCTAGGGACCGATTTGTTCCTAGATCCAGATGGGGACTGGATCCAGTTCCCATGCAGCTGTGCACAGCAACTGATCTTCTCAGATGTGGAACAATGAGGCTTTCATCAGGACATATCCTATGGTGAGTGCTAGACAGAACTCAAAGGCTGGAGATGGAGAGGGATAGTGTTGAGAGCTGGGGAAGGGTTAAAAAACTCACCCTCTAACCTGAAGAGTCACATTACAGGTTTTCAAACACATTGGTTAGTAGAGAAGGAGGCCAAAATGAAAAACAGAAAATTCTTCATAACCTGGAGTTTCTAAAGTGCAGTGCTCTTCATTTCAAAGTTTATAACGCAATCAGCACTGAACCAATGCTGTTTCATAGAACACTTTAAGATAATTGCTTTGATGAGCCCACAGAACTTATTTAACAACTTGCTGCTGATATCATTATGCTAAAACTTGGGATGCGTATGAAATTTTGGAAGAAAAAAGGAAAATAATAAACCGTCGGATTGGGAAAAGAGATTGAAATCCAGCTATTTCTTCTAAGTTGTGATAGTAAGTAGTCATGATTATTAGATATATCTCTTTCATGCCTCACTTTTTCAGTGCCCTCCTCCCATACTTAGGATACATCGCTAAAGTTGCTAGGAAGACAGGGCTGAATACACAGCCCTGCCCTTGGCATACATGGTCTAATTTCAAGGGATTGCTTTAAATAGAATTCTCTGCTAGAGCTAATCGGTGTCAAATATGAGAAGAAAATTATCCTTTCATAGAAGGGGAAAGTCTGCCTTCGTTCAATGGTGTGCCTGTGCAATGATCGTGCCGTCAGGTTTCACAAAAGCCTCTTTGTACCGAACACTGCTGATGCAATGAATGTGACCACAGTAGAGCCTGTGCCCTCTTTTGTTGCTGAATGTAGACTCCTACAATGCAGTGCCACCTACTTCCCCGGCTTTGTTTTCATAATAACTGGTTTGCATTTTTGGTACTTTAACCAAGTGTTGTAGCCCAGTGCTTTTAAGATCTATGATTAACAGGAATTTTAATATGTTGTATTTTGAATAGGTTTGCCAAGCTCCTGACGGTTTCCCTAATCACCAGGAACTTAAATATCACCAAACTGCTCACAAAGAGCCTCAGCTGCAAAATGCATATCCTGCCAGGTGTAAGGTTTCTGTCTAGACCAATGAGAAGGGCTTGAAGGTCACTGAATTCCCACATGGGGTCATGCACCTTTCCACGTCCTGAAGACACATCAGAAAGGATTTTCACATTTATGCATCCATTCTTTCATTCATTCAACTCCCTAAGTTATTTGGGGCCTTATGTGTGACATCTCTTGCTAGATCCTGAGTGGAGCAGGTTAAGCAGAGAGGGGCAAAAGAGCAGAATCAAAGGTAAAGATTACATCATCTCTGGAAAAAAAACGAGCTCTAGAAGACATTGTGTTAGATCCTACTATTGTGGCAATGTATAATTCCCAAAGAGTATAATTATATTGTAATTGAGTAGGAGAATGTCATTATTCTTGAGAGATATATATTTAGGGGTGAAGTATCATGATGTCTACGACATCAAACAGTTTGGCAAAAAGTATATACATATGTGTGTGTATATGTACACATACAGATTCCACTGTGGTCACGTTTGTTGGATCAGCAGTGTTTGGGTACAAAGAGGATTTTGTAGAACCTGACAGCACGATCATTGCCACTATATGTACATATACACATACACATATGTATATATACACATAAGCACACACACACATATATATAATGTGTATATACTGTGTACATACAGTCATGCCTCTCTTAACAATGAGGATATGTTTTGAGAAATCCATTGTTAGGGCCAGGTGTTTTGAGAAATCCATTGTTACGGTGGCTCACACCTGTAATCCCAGCACTTTGGGAGGCTGAGGAGGGCAGATCACCTGAGGTCAGAAGTTCGAGACCAGCCTGGCCAACATGGAAACTCCGTCTCTACTAAAAATACAAAAATTAGCCAGACATGGTGGTGCACTCCTATAATCCCAGCTACTGGGGAGGCTGAGGCAGGAGAATCGCTTGAACCCAGAAGAGGGAGGTTGCAGTGAGCCAAGATCACGCCACTGCACTCCAGCCTGGGCAACACAGCAAGACTCCGTCTCAAATTAAAAAAAAAAAAATGCATTCTTAGGCAACTTTGTTGTGTAAACATGTTAGAGTACACTTACACAAACCTAGATGGTATAGCCCATGAGGCACCTGTTTCTCTCAGGCTACCAACCTGTACAGCATGGGACTTTACTGAATACTGTAGATAATTGTAACACAACGGTTTTTGTGCATCTAAACATAGAAAAGGTGCAGCAAGGGCTAGGAGCGGTGGCTCATGCCCATAATCCCAACACATTGGGAGGCCAAGGTGAGTGGATCACCTGAGGTCAGGAGTTCGAGACCAGCCTGGCCAACACGGCAAAACTCCGTCTCTACTAAAAATACAAAAACTAGCTGGGTGTGGTGACGGGCACCTGTAATCCCAGCTACTAAGGAGGCCGAGGCAGGAGAATTGCTTGAACCCAGGAGGTGGTTGCAGTAAGCCAAGATCATACCACTGCACTCCAAGCTGGGTGACAAGAGCAAAACTCCATCTCAAAAAAAAAAAAGGTACAGCAAAATCCAGTATACAGTATAAAAGAAAAAAATTGGTACACCTGTGTAGGGCATTTACTCTGACTGGAGCCTGTGGGACTGGCAGTTGCTCTGGGTGAGTCAGTGAGTGAGTGGAGAGTGAGTGTGAAGGCCGAGGATATGACTTTCCGCTCAACACCGTTCACTTAGGCTAGACTAAATTCATTTAAAAAATTTCTTTCTTCAGTAATAAATTGATCTTATCTTACTGTAACTTTTTTACTTTAAAAACTTTTTCATTTTTAAAAAACCTTTGGACTCATTTGTAATAACAAAGCTTATAAGACAAACACATTGTACAGCTGTAACAAATTTTCTTGCTTTAGGTCCTTATTCTATCAATCAGCTTTTTTCTATTTTTAATTTTTTTTTTTTACTCTTAAAACCTTTTCTTAAAAACTAATATACAAACACACACACATACACCTAAGATCACACAGGGTCAGGATCACCAATATCACTGTCTTCTGACATCTGGTCCCACTGGGAGGTCTTCAGGGGCAAGGCCACCCATGAAGCTGCATCTCCTATGATCACTGTCCTTCTTCTGGACACCTCCTGAAGGATCTCTCTGAGACTGTTTTACAGTTAACTTTTTTCTATAAAGAGAAGGCATACACTCTAAAATAATGATTAAAAAGTATAGGCTAGTAATACCTAAACCAGCCACATTGTCATTTATTATCATTACCCAGCATTATGCACAGTACATAATTGTATGTGCTAGATTTTTATATGATTGGCCCCACAGTGGATTTGTTTACAGTGCTGCATTGTGATGTTAGGACAGCTATGATGTCAATAGGCCATAGGAATTTTTCAGCTCCATTATTATTTTATGGGACCATTGTCATATATATATATACACACGCATATATATATATATACATAAAATGTGTATATGTATCTCTTTAAAGATAGCAGATACGGGCCGGGTGCGGTTACTCACGCCTGTGTTAGATATGAGTTCTAAATTTATCTTCAAAGAATAAATATGTCAGTATATTCAATTCTTTGCCTTCTACTTTTAAACTTAACTTCCTCGTAAAGCAACCTTTTTCAATTACCTGCTTCACCCTGACTCATTCTGATTACCTGCTGCACCCTGACTCATTCCGATTACCTGCTCCACCCTGACACTCATTCGGATTACCTGCTTCACCCTGACTCATTCCGATTACCTGCTCCACCCTGACACTCATTCGGATTACCTGCTTCACCCTGACTCATTCCGATTACCTGCTCCACCCTGACTCATTCCGATTACCTGCTCCACCCTGACTCATTCCGATTACCTGCTTCACCCTGACTCATTCTGATTACCTGCTTCACCCTGACTCCTTCGGATTACCTGCTCCATCCTGACTCATTCCTATTACCTGCTCCACCCTGACTCATTGCAATTTCCTGCTCTGCCCTTAACCATTTTTCCCACCAAACCACTCACCCCCTCACGCTCTTTAAATTAGCCAATCAGAATTAGTTTAGCCTGTGCAGTCTAACCCTAGCCAATAGGGAAAGGATACAGCAGCAGGGGCCATGTGCGTCAGGGATAAGAACCCCTTCCCCTCCCTGGTCCAAGTGTGCACTCACCATTGCCCCATCTGTAAGGGCGCACCCTTCTATAGAAGTACATTGACTTGCTGAAAATTAAAAAGAAAATTTTATATTCGAGTGCTATTTCTTTTGCAGCACCGAAACTTTATTTATAACAATTTGGGGGCTCCCTCGTGATACATTCCCCTTCCGGGCAGTCTCTGGTTCTCTCTGGTGAGGACGTGCGCCCCGCCGCCTTGTGGGGGCCTCAGGGGTGAGAAATCAGGACCCACCCAGTTCCAGGAATAACCCGAGCTCTCAGCAACGCAGAAAGAAACTGGCCAGCAACCTAGCTTAAAGGATCCTCACATACTGCAGAGGTGACTCTGTGCACAGACCAAGGAAGGAGAAGCCGCGGGAGCCGGTAAAGTACTTCCTTGTTGGTCAAATTCTGGAGGGCTAAATGTGTGTGTGTGTGAATGATCACAAACAACCCTACTTGTGGTGTTCTTCGTGTGGATGGTGACAAGTCCTACTGCTGGACAGAGTGAGTGGGACCTCTCCGGGGTTCCGTAGCTACCTCATATAGCTTAGGGCGGATCCTGCCATGGGATTTATACCGGCACTCTAACACTAAGAGGGGCCTAACTCTCCCTTGGGGGAGCAGCCAGAGAGGACAACACGAGTGGGAAGTGTGCAAGGGACCTTCAGAGGGGGAAAGGGAGGAAACAGGTCAACCTTCTAGAGCAGCAAGGCAAGACACCCCCTGGTTTGAGGGGTTGAGCCTTCCGCAAATTTCAGGGGGTTGAACCTCACACAAACCTCCTGTAGTAAGAAAAATATTCAGAACTCCCCTTTCCTTTCTTCTCAGGGAAAGAAAGAGTAGCTGCACTCCCACCGGTCCCTCCCCTAGGGGAAGGGGAAGGAGAGGGGAGAAGAGCAGCATAAGCGGCTGGCAGAGGCAGAGAAAGAGACAGAGTCAAAGAGAGAGAGAGGCAGAGAGAGAGAAAGAGACAGAGACAAACAGAGAGAGGGAGAGTAGTAAAGAGAAAACAGTGTACCCTATTCCTTTAAAAGCCAGGGTAAATTTAAAACCTATAATTAATAATTGAAGGTCTTCTCCCTGACCCTATAACACTCCAATACCACCTTGTTGCCAGTGTAAACAAGGTTGTAACCCAAAAGCCCTGAGGTGACTGACAACCCGTAGCCTTCCTAATCAAAAATCCTTAACCCAGTAACCCGTGGATGGCCCAAATGCATTCAATCTGTAGTGGAAACTGCTTCGCTAACAGAAGAAAGTAGAAAAATAACTTTTAGAGTAAACTTCATTGTGAGCACACCTCATCAGGTCAGAACTATCCTAAGTCAAAAAGAAAACAAAAGATAGCTTACTGACTCAAGAACCTTAAAGTATGAGGCTATTCTGTTAGAAAAAGATGATTTAACATGAACCACTGAAAATTCCCTTAACCCACCAGGTTTCCTAACAGGGCATCTAAATCTTAATTACCATACAAAGGTCCAACCAGACCTAGGAGGAACTACCTTCAGGACAGGACTGTAGATGCTTCCTCCTGGGTGATTGAAGGAAAAAGACACAATGGGTATTCAGTAAGTGATAAGGAAACTCTTGGAGAAGCCAAGTTAGGAAAATTGCCTAACAATTGGTCTGCTCAAACGTGCCTGCGAGCTGTTTGCACTCAGCCAAGCCTTAAAGTGCTTACAGAATCAGGAAGGAGTCATCTATACTAATTCTAAGTTAATATGGACTGAACGAGGTCTTATTAATAGCAAAGAATAATTGAAATCCCAAACTTACAAGGTTTTCAACAAAAGTAAAGTTTGCTAAAAGTTAAGAGTGTAACATGTATTATCCTAACGTCTAATCTTGTGGCCTTAGACAGTCTAGTCCACAGAAATGAAGGAAGTTCAATTTGGAAAAGAATGGTTATCATCTTTGAGAAAAAACAAAGGAGGGGGGAGAGAATTTATGTAAAAAGGAATATTATATGGTAAATTCTTGTCCTAAAATAAATGAACTGGTTGTTTAGAGAAAGGGATGTTTGCAACAAATCAGAAAGTTGAGGCATGTTGAAGAATTGTCTGTGAAAGTTATGGGAAAAAAAAGTTATAAAAGGGAATTTATGCAAGAAATGTTGTATAATTTAAAAGTAATTAGGCCTCCTGAATGTAAAACTATTGAAGAAACAGTTTATGTGTAAGGTGTGTAAGGAAAGTAAAACGTACTTTGGTAAAAGGATTATAAGGAGACATAAGAGTGTGGATTTTTACCTACATTAAATGGTTAAAAAAAAATTGTTTTAAAGGTTTAGGCAAGTTTTGAAATGTTAATTGAAAAGGAAATTCTGTGTGTAAACATATTGGGTAAAGTTAAAGGGATATCACCCAGTTTTTCTGAGAACTGGACATTAAAATAAAAGCACAACATGTTTTTCTTAAAGCACTAACCTGCTTTTTAACAAAAATTATAAAAGGTTAAAAAGCATCTATACAAATCTTACCATATGGTCAGACATTAAAAATTGGATAAATATGGCTACAAGATTTTATTAAAATTAACTTTAACATTAAAAACACACTAATGTAAAGGTGAAATTTAGCTTATCTGGTATAAATATCATACAGGAAGCATTGGCAAATATAAAACGGTGTTTGGCTTTCTTTGGTCTAAAAAATAATAAAAATAGGTGCTAAAGAAAATTTCTCAGCAAGAAGGTGCCAAGGACTATAAAGTCCATTGCTGATGTCCCCACATGTAAAACAAAAGATCAATTTCTTAGAAATTATATACTTGGTTTATCTTCTACTTTCCTTTCCCTCAAAACTAAAAGTCTTTTAGCACAGGTACCAGCCCTAGAATTTCCGGTAAACCAGCACCAGCCTGAGGATCACATTCTCATCAAAGGGTGGGGAGAAGGAAAACTTGAGCCAGCCTGGGAAGGACTTTACCTTGTGTTACTAATCACCGAGACTGCTGTTCATACAGTGGAAAGGGGATGGACTCATCACACCCGAGTCAAAAAAGCACCGCCTTCTCCAGAGTCGTGGGCCATAGTCCCAGGGGAAAACGCTACCAAACTAAAGCTAAGAAAAATTTAACTCTTTCATCTATTCTATTACTTTTTCTTCTTTCCTCACTCTATTGCTGACCATCTAGTTATTAACATAACCAAGTCAATTTCGCCTCAAACTATTGCATTTGGTGCTTGCCTTGTTATACCCTGTGGGAACTTGCCAAGTCAGAGACAGCTCTCTACTTCAGAAAAGCACCTCTGTCCCTCCTGACTCTTCTCAGATTAGGCATTAGTGAACTGGGACCATTTAATCCGAGGAGATTTTGATAAAGACCCCGGCGTCAACCAGGAGTCTTGCCCTCCCAATGTACAGCTTTTATGCCATAGTTGGTCCAGCATTCTGTGGACCACTAAAGAGCAAGGATGGACCGCCCCAACCTGTTTTTGTAATTTCCTAAAACTGTACATTCATGTTACTAGAGGGACAGCCCCCCACTAAGTGTCAGCTAAACCAGTGCAATCCTATACAGGTTATTATCTCGAATCCTCAAACTTCTTCCCCTTTTCTAAGCCGGTTCCCTCCTTTAAGCCAGTTTTATGGTATGGGGGTTGAGGTTTGAGGGACAGACCCTATTGGATTCTTTAAAATGTATTTCTTTGATCCCGCACTGCCTGCACCTTCTTCTAAGCCTTCTTCCAAAACCTCTCACAACGGAATAATTGCTCCTCCTCCATCTAACCACAAGACCAAGATGGCTGTCGTAGAAGTTAAAGACTTAAAACAAGTATTGGCAATTGAAACAGGTTACCAAGTTGCAAATGCCTGGTTGGAATGGATCAGATATTCCGTCCGCACTTTAAACGAAAGCAATTGTTATGCTTGTGTGCATGGCAGGCCAGAGGCCCAGATTGTCCCCTTTCTAGTAGGGTGGTCCTCCAGTTGACCAGGAGTGGGCTGCATGATAGCTCTTTTCCCGGATCCTACAGCCTGGAGTAACAAGTTGTGCCATGCTCTCTCTCTGCTATATCCCGAAGTCCGGCATCCTATGGGCCAGCCCCTGAGGGCCATCCAGCTTCTGTCTCCCAACACTAAGTTAACTTCATATCTCTCACGACAGGGAGGAAACAGCATTCCTTGGAGACCTGAGGGGATGCAGTGAGCTTAAGAATTTTCAAGAACTTATCAATCAGTCAGCCCTTGTTCATCCCCTAGTGGATGTGTGGTGGTATTCTGGTGGACCTTTACTGGACACTCTGCCGAATAACTGGAGCGGCACTTGTGCTTTAGTCCAATTGGCTATCCGTTTCACCCTGGCATTTCATCAACTAGAGGAAGGAAAAATAAGACATCATAATGCGAGAGAAGCCCCTTATGGGTCTTTCGACTCTCATGTCTATTTAAACGCAACTGGAGTCCCACGGGGAATACCAGATCAATTTGAATTCCGAAATCAAATAGCTGCAGGATTTGAGTCAATATCTTGGTGGGTGACAATTAATAAAAATGTAGATTGGATAAACTACATCTACTACAACCAACAGTGATTTAGTAACTACACTAGAGATGCTGTTGAAGGAATAGCTGAGCCATTAGGGGCTACAGGCCAGATGGCTTGGGAAAATAGGATAGCCTTAGACATGGTATTAGCAGAAAGAGGAGGAGTTTGCATTATGATTAAAACTCAATGTTGTACCTTCATCCCAAACAACATCGCCCCTGATGGAAGTATAACAAAGGCATTGCAAGGTCTGACTGCTCTGTCCAGTGAGTTAGCCAACAACTTACGGGTAAATGACCCCTTTACAGGATGGCTAGAAAAGTGGTTTTGTAAATGGAGTGGAATAATAGTCTCAATTCTTACTTCCCTTGCAGCAGTAATGGGTGTACTTATTCTTGTCGGGTGCTGTGTCACACCATGCATCCGTGGGTTGATGCAGAGGCTCATAAAAATGGCACTTACTGAAACCTCCCTTCACTATCCTCCACCTTATCCAGAGAAGATTCTTCTTTTAGAAAATCAAGCAGAACAACTAAGCTAAGACATATTAAAGAAGTTTGAAGAGAAAGAACTGTAAGGAAATGCAAGAGGAGGGGTTGTTAGATATGAGTTCTAAATTTCTCTTCAAAGAATCAATATGTCAGTATGTTCAACTCTTTGTCTTCTACTTTTAAACTTAACTCCTCATAAAGCAAACTTTTTCGATTACCTGCTGCACCCTGACTCATTCCGATTACCTGCTCCACCCTGACTCGTTCAGATTACCTGCTCATTCTCTGCCCTGAGTCATTTCAATTTCCTGCTGTATCATAACCATTTCTCCTGCCAAACCACTCACCCCGTCACTCTCTTTAAATTAGCCAGTCGGAATTAGTTTAGCCTGTGCAGTCTAACCCTAGCCAATAGGAGAATGACACAGCAGCAGGGGCCACGTGGGTCAGGGATAAGAACCCCTTCCCCTCCCTGGTCCAAGTGTGCGCTCACCATTGCTGCATCTGTAAGGGTGCACCATTCTATAGAAGTACATTGCCTTGCTGAGAATTAAAAAGAAAATCTTATATTTGAGTGCTATTTCTTTTGCGGCTCCAAAACTTTATTTATAACACCTGTAATCCCAGCATTTTGGGAGGCTGAAGTGGGCAGATCACCTGAGGACAGGACTTGGAGGCCAGTCTGACCAACATAGAGAAACCCCATCTCTACTAAAAATACAAAATTACCCGGGTATGGTGGTGCATGCCTGTAATCCCAGCTACTCAGGAGGCTGAGGCAGGAGAATTGCTTGAACCTGGGAGGTGGAGGTTGTGGGTGAGCTAAGATCGTACCATTGCACTCCAGCCTGGGCAACAAGAGCAAAACTCTCTCAAAAAAATATAAATAAATAAATAAAATAAAAAATAAAGATAGCAGATGTTACAAAATATTAAAAATCAGTGAACCTAGACGAAGAGTCTAGGGGTTTTCGTTGTATTTATCATGCACCTGTTTGTGTTGTTTTGAAATTTTTCACAATATAAAATTAGAGGAAAAGATATCATCTCTCATCTCAAGGAGCTTACAATCTACAGACCAAATATTTTTTTCTAATAAAAAGATGAAGAAGACTAGATCTTAGGGTCAGAAATCATTGGTGGGGCACGAGTAAGCTGCCTCCACAAACCCCAACTCCCAGAAGGTGGGACTGTGGCAGATGGGTTGGGTTCGCCTGAGCCCCCGCTTCTGCCCAGAGGTTTTAGCAGGTTCCTGAGGACTGGGCTGGGCCATGGGTGGGCACAAGGCAGACTCTTTGGCCCACAGTGGAGGCCCTCAGAAGACCAAGAGTCCAAATGTGGTAGGAGTTATTAAGAAATAATTTTAGGCAGATAGGAAAAGGGGTCCTTGGAAACTTTTCATCTCTTTTAAAGCAGCTCCTCAAATGTTTATTTATTTTCCTTTTTTTTTTTTAATATATGGAGTTTTGCTCTTATTGCCCAGGCTGGAGTGCAGTGGGCTATCTCTGCTCACTGCAACCTCCGCCTCCTGGGTTCAAGCGATTCTCTTGCCCCAGCCTCCCGAGTAGCTGGGATTACAGGCGCCCACCACCAAGCCTGGCTAATTTTTTGTATTTTTAGTAGAGACGGGGTTTCTCCATGTTGGCCAGGCTGGTCTCGAATTCCTGACCTCAGGTGATCCACCTGTCTCCGCCTCCCATCGTGCTGGGATTACAGGCATGAGCCACTGCACCTGGCCCAAACCTTTCTTGTCTAACAGGAAAGCCCCAGCATTTAGAGCCGGGCAGGCAACCTTTGATATGCAATTGCAGGCCATTAGAAACTGGTTCCACTCCAACATGATGATTCCCTCCCTTTTCTCCTTGCCCTCGCATTTGCCTGGCAACATGGCTGCCCCCCATATCCCCACGTGCCTAGAACATCATGGTGCCCTGCATTTGCATATTAAAAGCTAGGGTGGGAGGGCCAGTTTGTTTCCCGGGCTATGTGAATGACATGCCTAGTCAAACCAATCCCCTGAGCCCTATGCAAATCAGACACCGCCTGCTCCAGCCTCTTCCTGTACCTAGCATGTGGGGTCTTCTCTCTAGGCTTTGGAGCCCACCTCCCTCTGTCTCTGAACAGGGGAACTTCTTCCTTCTTTCTTCTCCCTTCCTTCTTGCCTATTAAAGTCTCCGCTCCTTAAAACCACTCCCTGTGTGTCCCTGTAGGTTTTTCCAATTTGACGTGAGATGAAGAACCTGGAGTTCCTTCACTCATCAGAGCCATATCACAGGGTCTCCTGGCCAAGTCCAAGGAGGACTGGAGAGGGGCCCCTGCTATGCAGAGTCCCTCACCTGAGCCTGTGCCAGGCCTTCGTGCTGGAGGTGCACCACAGATGCGGATGGCCCAACAGCACTTGGATGGATATTTAGTAAAGGAGAAAGCAGAGAGGACGCTTATAAATATAAATCAGAAAGAAGATGGACCAAACCCCCTGCTTTGTCTTGGCTCAGAAGGGCTTTGCAGAAGGCCATGGAAGATGGCATGGGATGCCACCAGCCAGCCAGATCACACGTAGTGATGTTCACACTCAAGTTGACCTTTCTGACACCTTGTGATGGTTAATACTGAGTGTCAATTCGATTGGATTGAAGGATGCAAAGTATTGTTCCTGGGTGTGCCTGTGACGGTGTTGCCAAAGGACATTAATTAACATTTGAGTCAATGGGCTGGGAGAGGTGGACCCACCCTCAATCCAAATGGGCACCATCTAATCAGCTGCCAGCACAGCTAGAATAAAGCAGGCAGAAGGTGGAAGGAGCTAACTTGCTGAGTCTTCTGGCCTCCGTTTTTCTCCTGTGCTGGATGCTTCCTGCCCTGGAACATCAAACTCCAAGTCCTTCAGCTTTTGGACTTTTGGACTTAAGCCAGTGGTTTGTCAGGGGTTCTCAGGCCCTTGGCCACAGACTGAAGGCTGCATTGTTGGCTTCCTTACTTTTGAGGTTTTGGGACTCGACTGGCTTCCTGGCCCCTCAGCTTGCAGACAGCCTACTGTGGGACTTCACCTTGTGCTCGTGAGTTAATTCTCTTTAATAAACTCCCCTTCATGTATACATCTATCCTATTAGTTTAGTTCTGTCCCTCTACAGAACCCTGACTAATATATGCCTCAACTTCAGGGTTCTTTGGCCTTCTTTTTTTTTTTTTTGATGCAGAGTCTCACTCTGTCACCAGGCTGGAGTGCAGAGGCACCATCTGGTTCACTGCAACCTCCGCCTCCCTGGTTCAAGCAAGTCTCCTCTCTCAGCCTCCCGAGTAGCTGGGACTACAGGCACGCACCACCACGCCCAGCTAATTTTTGTATGTTTAGTATAGACAAGGTTTCATCACGTTGGCCAGGATGGTCTCGATCTCCTGACCTTGTGATCCGCCTGCCTCAGCCTCCCAAAGTGCTGGGATTACAGGCATGAGCCACCATGCCTGGCCATTCCTTGGCCTTCTAATGCCTTCTATCTATGGGCCACCTCAGCTGGCAGTCCTAGATGATGCCCCCATCCTTGACCCTCACAGACGACTTAACTCCAACCTCTGCCCTGCTACCATCTGGATTTCCAACCCCAGAATTCTGTTTTGGTAGATTTGCTCCACCCCACATGCATGCCCTAAAGCTCCAGTGAGGCCTCAGTATAACTGGCAATACGCTCTTGTTGCTCTTGTTCTTTCTGAGTCCTGGCTGTATATAAAGCTGGGTCAGGGGGTCCTCAAGGTCCCTTTTAGTGGTAAAAATTATTAGACTTTACCTCTTGCTAATGCCCACATCCTTAAGTAAACTGAGCCCCTCCATTTTCTCCTTCCCGTTTCCTTCTCTTGCTGAGTAAGAATTATTTCTTTTCGCTGATAAAACCAACCCCTCTGTCATCTCTGTTCTTGTATCCTTCATGCATCTTCTGGGAGGTTGCTCTATTTATTCCCCTTTTCTCTGGCATCTTTGATCTCTCTTTGGGGGCTGTTAGTTCTCAAGCAGCACATCCAGCCTGCAGGGTTGGTCTCCAGCTTCTCAGTTATTCCTTTTAAGATGAATAAGAAAATGAGTAAAGGAAGAGGGCTGGCCTGGGTGCCCTGCTTGGGTCCAGGGCTTAGAGAGTGGGCAGACACTGAGGGGTGACCTTCCCTGCACAGCCAGTCCTGGGCAGGATGTGGGAAGGGCCGGGACGGAGCTCCCTGACACTGAGAAGGACAGGCTGGCTGGCACCGAGGTCTGTGTTAGGAAGGATGGAGAGACAGGCACCCAAGGGTCCTAGGCTCAGCTGGATGAACATCTGGTTTTGTGGGACCAGATGCCGAGTTCTGAATCCACTGTACCTACAAAGAACTTTTTGTTCTCCTCAGACATAGTTGAGAAGAAAAACTTGCTCAGTTATATTTTTTTTTAATTTTATTCTTTTTAGTGACAGGGTCTCATTTGCTGCCCAGGCTGGAGTGCAGTAGCATAATCATAGCTCTCTTCACCTTCAAACTCCTGGGCTCAAGTTAGCCTTCTAAGTAGCTAGGACTACAGGCATGTGCCACCATGCTCAGCTAATTTTTAACTTTTTTTTTTTTTTAAGAGATGGAGTCTTGCTGTATTGCCTAGGCTGGTCTCTAACTCCTAGGCTCACGCAGTCCCCCCACCTCAGTCTCCCAGACTGCTGGGATTACAGGCATTAGCCCCTGCACCTGGCTTTCAGTTGGTTTTTATTTTATTTCATTTTATTTTATTTATTTTATTTCAAGACAGAGTTTCTATCTTGTTGCCCAGGCTGGAGTGCAGTGGTGTGATCTCGGCTCACTGCAGCCTCTGCCTCCCGGGTTCAAGTGATTCTCCTGCCTCAGCCTCCTGAGTAGCTGGGACTACAGGTGCCCGCCACCATGCCCAGATAATTTTTGTATTTTTAGTAGAATGGGGTTTCGCCATGTTGGCCAGGCTGGTCTTGAACTCCTGACCTCAGGTGATCCGCCCGCCTCGGCCTCCCAAAGTGCTGCGGTTACAGGCGTGAGCCGCCGCGCCCGGCCTCAGCTGGTTTTTAATTACTCCCTCGTACCCAGGTGACCAGTGTATTTTCCGTGGCCTTTTCTTCGCCTACTATCACTTAAGCGGAAGGGCACAGGACTAGAAAGGGGTTAAAACCCCCAGTGATACTGCCAACCCAGGAGGCCCCCAACCGCGTCCTGGCTCCAGGGCTGCCATTCCTGGATGTCCCCAACCCCAGCTTTTCCCGTGCCTCCTGCTCTGCAGCCCAGAGGCAGCCACCCGGCCTTTATGTCCCGCACCGGCAGGGCCCAGAAACCAGCCTCCAGGGCAAAGGTGGTGGCGTCAGTCACTGCCTGTGTTGCAATGATGTGTGAAAAAATCCTCATGGAGTCAGTGAGTGACTCCATCCATCCTTCCTCATTCCATTTACCATCTTGCAAGTAAGACTAAAACTATAATTCGGAGCTCTTAGCTGTAAGAATTTTATACAATTCTGGAACCTTGAAAGTGTGTTTCCTCAGAGTGATCTGCGGTAAGCTGAAAGGTGAAAGGGGCCTGTTTTGGGCAGAAGTGTGACCCTTGCAAATTTGTATGTTGAAGTCCTAACATATAGTTACTGTATTTGGGTCTGTAAAGAGTTGATTGAGTTCAAATAGGCCATTAGGATAGGGCCTAATATGACTGGTATCCCCTGAAGAGGAGGAGATTGGGACACAGACAGGTACAGGGGAAGACCATGTGGACACAGGGAGATGACAGCTGTCTGCAAGCCACAGAGACACCAACCCTGATGACACCTTGCTCTTGGGCCTCAAACCTCTAGATCTGAGAAATCAATGTCTCTGGTTTGAGTGGCCCACCTGGCAGCCAGTCCTGTAAGTGGAGCAGAAAGTGTGGGAGACGGGGCTGTAAAGAGGAAAGAAAGCCACCCGGGCCCTGGACCCAGAGGCAGCAGGTCTGAGAGCGGACGGGGTTCCTAGAGGAAAGACCCTGGGAGGCCCCTGCCTGCAGAATGTACAGAGTACCCTGAGGAGGGGAGAATTACCTTCAGAAGCAGACAGCACAGGCGCTGCACCCCGCACAGCGTCACTGGCCACCCGGGAGAGCAGAGACAGGGAGCCACAACGAGCTGATGTCAAAGTGTGCGGAGCAGGAAGAGACCAAGCCCATTTCGCCAGCGGGCAGCTGGCCTGGGTGGCGCCCACAACCACAGGGGCACCCCACCGCCGTTAACATGCCATGAGCGCCAGGCCCAGGACACGGCCTTCTCAGCCTGGACAAGAATTGAAGTCGTGGGTTCTAGACCAGCTCCCCACACCCAGTTCCAATCACACCAGCATTTGGGCATCTAGAATATGAAGAAATCAGAGCTAGCTGATCTCTAGGGTCTCTTTTTGTACTAAAATTCTATAGTTTTGATTCATAATGATGATTCATAGTGAGTCAACAAGAAAAAGGTTAAATTATGTTCTGAATATGCTAGTTAGGAGAACAGGCAAGCCTGTACTCTATTGTGTAAATGTTTCAAAGTTATTGGAATCTGAAAACTGTTTTGTTGTTTCCAGATGAAAGGTTCAGATAGGGGAAAATTGATTTTAGTGGAGCTTCTCATCCCCCCTGGTGCACAATGAGCACAAACTGTACCTATCTCACTTGTGTTTCTTCTTCAGAGCCTTCTGGGCACAAGGAGATTGCAAATTGCGCCTTTTCAAGTTGAGAGTTTCGAGGCCAAAAGAACATATTATAATTGTGCGTATAATAGCACTTAAAGTTGACATGCCATATCTAATTCCAGTTTTCTTTCAGAAAATTGGATTTTCCCAGAAAACAGAAGTTGGGTATTTACAATGCAGTCGGCACCTTCTTTCCTAAGAACTCAGTGCTTTCCAAATACCAAGAATCTGTCTTAAAATTCTTTAAAAATTGCAATTATTGCAAAATTAAAAGAAAGGGATTTAGTGGTTGTATCTCTGTTCCCTCCCTCTTAGCTAAAGCCACATGACGTCTTTGTTTTTCAATCCACACCCCCACCAAATAGACAAGAACACCACCACAACACCCACAGATACCTACCCGCCTGACCTACAGCCGCAGAACCCAGGGCAGAGTCCAGAGGAGGGAGAGACCTGGTCTCTCCTGAGGACATGCCCCTCTCTCCACGGTTCTGTCTCCTCCACCCTCACTCACCAGGACTTTCCTGGACTCCGAGTTCTTCTTTCTTATGTTCTGTTGGTTTGGTCATTCCTTTCCCATTTTATCCTGAGATGAACAATCACACTTAAAGGAAAAGAGTAGTTCTCTCAGTCCGAATCCTCTGGCACACTGGACATGCTTGTTTTCTGTGACCTCCTGGGGAAGGGAGCACTCCCACAACTCCTGTTGGCGAGGGCGGCAGATGCCCAGGTTCATCCAGCTCCTCCCTGCCCTAAAAGGGTCCCAGGACTTCCCCCAGTTTTCTCTCAAGGGGGACACAAATCCTTCTGTTTACATTGACTCATTCAACTAACATTTGTCAGAACGCTAATGTTTTAGGTAGACTCATAGAATGTTGGAGTTTCGAGAAGACACAAAAATAATCTGGTCCAGTGCCTTCATTTGGTGGTGAGAAAACTAAAGTTCTGTCAACGAAAAGGGTCAAGTTCTGTAAAATATTTAAAGATATTTATTCTGTGCCAAATATGAGTGACCGTGGCCCATGACACAGCCCTCAGGAGGTCCTGAGAACATGTGTGCAAGGTGGTCAGGGCACAGCTTGGTTTTATACATTATAAGGAGGTATGAGACATCAACCAAATACATTTAAGAAATACATTGGTTTGGTCCAGAAAGATGGGACAACTCAAAGTTGGGGGTGGGGGGCCTTCCAGACTGTAGGCGAATTTAAACATTTTCTGGCTGACAATTGGATGAGTTTGTGTAAAGACCTGGAATGAATAGAAAGGGAATGTTCAGGTTAAGAAAAAAGATTGTAGAGACTGGCTAGGCGCAGTGGGTCATGCCTATAATCCTACCACTTTGGGAGGCCAAGGTGGGTGGATCACCTGAGGTCAGGAGTTCGAGACCAGCCTGACCAATATGGTGAAAACCCACCTCTACTTAAAATACAAAAAAATTAGCCAGGTGTGGTGGAAGGTGCCTGTAGTCCCAGAGGCTGAGACAGGAGAATTGCTTGAACCTGGGAGGCAGAGGTCACAGTGAGCCGAGATCGTGCTACTGCACTCCAGCCTGGGCAGCAGAGCAAGACTTCATCAAAAAAAAAAAAAGATTGTAAGATTGTGGAGACCAAGGTTCTTTTGAAGTCTTATCATCGTGGCTGCCCTTAGAGGCAATAGATGACAAATGTTTCCTATTCAGACCTTTAAAAGGTGCTAAACTTTTAATAATCTCATTAGGATT
The DNA here is from genome assembly GCF_000001405.40 of Homo sapiens. Taxonomy (NCBI): domain Eukaryota; kingdom Metazoa; phylum Chordata; class Mammalia; order Primates; family Hominidae; genus Homo; species Homo sapiens. Next base: position 161,301,875 of record NC_000006.12, on the reverse strand, counting down.
GGGAGGGCCTGGAAGAAAAACATCTAGCTATGTTAATAGAGATTCTTTACAGATGCAAATTTTCCCCCACAAATGACAGTTTTGCAGGGCCATTTCAAGATATGGCAAAGAAACATGCTTTGGGGTAAAATATTTTTATTTTCTTTGATTGTCTTGTAATGTTAAATGCCAGAGTCACTTTGGAAAGTAAGCCATGATGTATGGATTTAAATAAAATCCATCTGATGAGACTTTATGGTTTGTAAGGCATGACTCCCCAGACCACTTAGATAGGAATGTGGGCAAGATAAAAAACCTCAGAGTTTAGTCCTCAGTTCTTAGAGAAGGGACTTGCCCGATGGAGAGGTTATGAAATATGTTGCTGGCAGAACAGGACTGGAATCCAGCCACTTAAGTCCTGGCCTGAGCATGCGAGGGTTCCTGTCTTTTCCTGCTGGCCATAGCTTCAGGAGCAGGCTGTGCAGCTTCATGCATTGGGCATGTGCTGTTTCCAAACTTGAAGTCCCACCCTCTCCATGCCTGACACCCCAGGTGGTAGCTCTTGCACTGGCACATCCGTGGGCTTTGACAAGGACACAGTCTGCTCTTCTGCACATGACGGCCGTCAACACTGAGATACCAAAGACAGCTTTGTGTTCCCCCTTCACCCTTGGGCTTCCCTCCAGCCCAGGAAGCTAAGACTTTCCACACATCAAGAGACCAAAAGAGATGTTGCTTAGCTTTTGATTTTTTCTTTGAAAAAAAATCTGGTAAAACATAACATAAAATTTATCATTTTAACTATTTTTAAGTGTACAATTCAGTGGCATTAAGTACATTCACAATGTTGCACAATCACAGCTATTCCCTTTCAGAACTTTTTCATGATCCCAGACAGAAACTCTGTCCTCATTTGCTATTGGCTGCTCTGTGTCTTCAAAATTTCTATGTTGAAGTCCTATACCCCAGTACCACAGAATGTAATTGTATTTGGAGACATGGTCTTCCAAGAGGTCAAAACAAAGTCATTGGGGTGGGCCTTAATTTCATATGGCTGGTATCCTTATAATAACAGAAGATTTGGGCCAGTCGCAGTGGCTTATGCCTGTAATCCCAGCACTTTGGGAGGCCGAGGTGGGCAGATCACTTGAGTCAGGAGTTCAAGACCAGCCTGGCCAACATGATGAAACCCCATCTCTACTAAAAATACAAAAATTGTGGTGGTACATGCCTGTAGTCTCAGCTACTCGGGAAGCTGAGGCAGAAAAATTGCTTGAACCTGGGAGGCGGGGTTGCAGTGAGCCAAGATCGCGCCACTTCACTCCAGCCTGGGCGACAGAGCGAGACTCCGTCTCAAGAATGAATAAATAAATAAATAAATAAATAAACCAGGAGATTTGGACACAGCCACAGCCAGGCACAGAGGAAAGACCATGTGAAGACACAGGGAGAAGACAGCCATCTGCAAGCCAAGGAGAGAGAAATCCAACCCTGCTAGCATCTTGATATCGGACTTCTGTTCTCCAGAATTATGAGAAAATGCATTTTACCATTTTAACTATTTTTATTGAACTATTTTTATTTAAGCTAGCCAGGTTTTGGTATTTTATTATAGTAGCCATAGCAAACTAAAACACCATTAAATAATAACTTCCCGTACCCACTGTCTCCAGCCCCTGGTAACCTCTATCACACAGTCTCTATGACTTTGCCTATTCTAGGCCCATATAAATGGATTCATACAATATTTGTCCTTTTGTGTCTGGCTGATTTCATGCAGCATGATGTTTTCATGCTTTATCCATGTCGTAGCATGCGTCAGTACTTATTTCTATTTCCAAATAACATTAAATTGTATGGCTATGCCACATTTTGTTTATCCATTCATCTCTTGATAGATGTTTGGGTAGTTTCCATATTTTGGCTATTGTGAATCATGCTGGGTTAGCTTCTGACTTTCAAAATAAGCCAAGATAATAGTTTAAGAGAAAGAGATACAGGATTTCCAGAGCTGAGTTTATGTCATAAAAGAGTTTAGAAAATTCGTGATAATGTAAGATCCTGTTTTCGCTCTCTAGACTGGGGAGAAAATGTGTTCACCTTGCCAGCTGCCCAGACAGAGCTGATTTATCAAGACAATACAATTATAATGGAGAAAGAGTAATTCATGCAGAACCAGCTGTGTGGGAGACCAGAGTTTTATTATTACTCAAATTACTCTCCCCAAGCATTTGGGGATTGGAGTTTTTAAAGATAATTTGGCAGGTAGGAGCTTGGGAAGTGGGGAGTGCTGTTGGTCAGGTTGGAAATGGAATCATAGCGGGATTGAAATGAGATTTTCTTGCTGTCTTCTGTTCCTGGGTGGGATGGCAGAACTAGTTGAGTCAGATTACCATTCTAGGTGGTGGTAGTTGATCCATCCAGTGTATGGTCTACGAAATATCTCAAGCGCTGATATTAGGTTCTACAATAGTGATGTTATCCCCAGGAGCAATTTGGGGAGGTTCAGACTCTTGGAGCCAGAGGTTGCATGACCTCCAAACTGTAATTTCTAATCTTGTAGCTAATTTGTTAGTCCTGCAAAGGCCGACTAGTCCCCAGACAAGAAGGGGGTCTTTTCAGGAAAGGGCTATTATCAGTTTTGTTTCAGAGTCAAACCATGACCTGAATTTCTTCCCAAAGTTAGTTTGGCCTATGCCCAGGAATGAAAAAGGACAGCTTAAAGGTTAGAAGCAAGATGGAGTCAATTAGTTCTGATCTCTTTCACTGTCATACTTTCCTTAGGTATAATTTTTGCAAAAGCAGTTTCAATCCCTCCCTTTGGGTTTCAAAGCATCTTATTCTTAAGGTGTGGGCTATGCAGATGGGAAACAGCCATCAATCACTCTGGCTTCTTTCTCCTGACAGGGGGCATAGTGGGGGTAGGAGTTGACTCCCAGGTGAGAGGAGTGGAACCACTTTGTAGTTGTCTGAGTTTTTTGAGCATACTCACATAGGCTGGGCTGGGAGTCCAAGGTTTTTTTTTTCTGAGACGGAGTTTTGCTCTTGTTGCTTAGGCTGGAGTGCAATGGCGTGATCTTGGCTCACTGCAACCTCCGCCTCCTTGGTTCAAGCAATTCTCCTGCCTCAGCCTCCCGAGTAGCTGGGATTACAGGCATGCACCAACACGCCCAGCTAATTTTTTATTTTTAGTAAAGACAGGGTTTCTCTATGTTGGTCAGCCTGGTCTCGAACTCTTGACTTCAGGTGATCCGCCCACCTCAGCCTCCCAAAGTGCTGGGATTACAAGCGTGAGCCACTGCACCCGGCCTCCAAGGCTTTTATGACAAAAGTGTTAGTATTCCCATCTATAGTTTTAGCACAGATTTAAGTGGACAATGTACTATAAGGTAAAAAATGAGTTATAGGATAAGGAGTATAATTCTCAGTTTTAAAAGTAAAGATTTGAAAATATTAGTTTGGAGACTTGTAGTCTATAAATAATTTAGGATTAAGTCTAAATTGAAGAAAAATAAAAATAAAAACTCAAAAACAACCAACAACAGGTGTACTATAGTTTTTGGAACACAATTTTTCTCTTTCCAATCCTTATTTTTATTAACAAATCATAATAGGATTGACTTGTTTGTAGAATAAATTTTAGTTTTATTATACTTGGTCTGATTATTTGTATGAAGTGCAGTAAGAATAGTTATTTTTTACATAGGCTTTTAAATTTTGCTTTGATGGAACTCTGTTCCATAAGGAATCTCAGATAAGACTTTTTAAAGCCAAGTCCTGTCATGGGTTTGTAGCCTCAAGTACCTATGAGTTGGGTAAATTCCTCTTCTCTTGAGGTCCCAAGATACCATAGGGCACCTGGGCCTGTTAGAAAGTGACATTCTTTATTTATCACAGGTCAGGAACACTGTATAGGGACTGTGTGGACAAGGTATGAGGCCAGTTTTCTCAAGGGGTTTTTATTGGTTCTACAAGTCAAGTTTGATTCTTTAAAGGAAAGTATGTCATTCTAGTCAGTCTTGGTGAAATAACCAGTTTCTCTAATTGTGTTATGTTGTAAAAGAAAATATTCTTATTGTACTTATGTAAATAACCATATTGTCATAAGTAAAGAATGCTCACAAAATTTTTAAATTGTGGAGAAATTAGGTAGAGAGAAAAAATGTATGTTCTAAATTTTTTTCACAGGAGTATATTTTATTCAATTGTTAGAAGTTGGAAATAGTTCAAAAGAAAGGTTTCCTTGGATCTGAAAAATGAAAAGGATCAGCATTGTTTTAAGCAAAAAAAGTTAAAAAAGATTACTTCAGTTTTCTATTAGTTCAGTCCATTTAGGTAATTCTTATTCTGTTTGATATTCATTAATATTTTAGTTCTCTATGAGAGCCTTGAAAGGCTTTTTTCCTTTACTCTAATGTAATAATCTTTAAAGTTATCAGAAATTTGTACTTAAGAGCACTTGTCAGAGTTTTATAGTTGATCATAAAACCAACTTTTAAAGAGGACCAAATCCAGACAACAATTTTCTGTGGATGACAACAAAGTTTTAGGGAAGCCACAGTCAAAGACACAATTAACAGAGAAATTTGTTACCTCTGTGACACACAATAATTTAACATAACAATTATAGTTATTACTGATGACATATACTGAGGCATATCAGAATTATAGAAATCTTATGTAATTATGTATACACATACTAATAACAAATTTATATGCAAATAAACCAAAGAAAATTAAACACCATTTTATATTTTACGTTTCCTGTATGATTTTAATACATTAAGTAAGTCAAATATGTCTTTTTTGGACTTCAGGGGACCTAATTTTTTTTTCTTGTTTTTTACTTAAGTTTGATTTTGGGAGGTTGGTTAAATATCAAAGATTTAAAACACTGGAGATTACAAAATAGAATTCTAGGTTACCGTAAGTCATTTATTTAGCCAAAGTGATAACTCAAAAATTTTAAAAAGGAAAAAAAAACCTTTATTCTGATGAAGAGGAGACTTGGCTTTCTAAACAAGTCCCAGTGAATATAGTTTGAGGCCAGTTTTCTCTCCTCTTCTCTCTTCCCTCCCCTCCCCTTATTTTTGTAGTTTTCTTAAAAGGCAAACAAAAATCTTTCAGTGTCTCTCAATATTATGTAAAACTCTTTTTCAAAAGAAAAAAACAAATTTCATGGATGTATTAGTGCATCTTTAATGCTAAAGCTAGTTTTTGATAAAATTCTATAAATGTATCCAGTTTTAATTAGTTTGACTGTAAGATTTGTATAAGCCTTTTATAACCCTTTATATTTTTTTATTGCAGAACAATGTTCTCAGAAAACTCTGTTGTGCTTTTATTCCAATGTCCAATTTATGGGAGAACTGAGTAATGTCACTTTAACTTTAGTCAATATGTTCACACACAGAATCTTTTACAACTAATTTTTTATAAACCTTCCACAACTTGTTCAAACCTTTAGATCTTTCCTATCCTGCTTAAAACAATCCTTTAAGCCTCTAAACTGAGGCAAGAAATCCACATTCCCAGATCTTTTTATAATTTTTTTATACCAAAAGTACATTCTACTTTCCTTACACACCTTGTGTGTAGAAGTCTTTATTCAGTAGTCTCAAATACGTGTTAACACTGTTAACTCTTAGTAACTTTATTTTTGTTAAAAAACCTGGTTAGTAAGTGATAATTATATACCAGGTATGGATGTGGGACACCAGAAGGTCTGACTCTTTCCAGTATAGTTAGGGGGCACAGTTCATTTCACATGTCCCAGGCCTTATTTAGTTGTAAAGTAGGCAAGTTGTACAGTAAGAGTCATAGTGGCATTTTATCAAGTATTTTATGAAGCATTTAGGAGGCCTAACAACCTTTGAATTGTACAACATTTCTTGTATAAATTCCCTTTCACGAATCTTTTTACAACTTACACAGACAATCTATGATATGTTTGGACTTTCTGTCTTGCCCTAAACATCTCTATTTTTAAATAGCCAGTTAATTTACTTTAGGACAAGAATTTACCAGACAAGATCTTTTCTTATATAAAATCTCTTTTCTTTATAACCCTTTTTTTTGTGTATATTTAGGGGGCATGGTTAATTCTACATTTCTCTAGGCCTTATCTAGAATTTAATGGCTTCAAGGTAGATAAATTAAATAATTTTCAAAAGTCAAAGAAACAGTTTATGACCTTAAAGCATTTAGTAAACTTAATATCTGACCTAATTTAGACCAAATGTCTAAATTTTGAAGACGTTTATATTTTACCAATAACCTTTAAAACTGTCTTTATTTCTGAAAGATTGTTAAAGTCATGTGAACTAAAAGGCATTAGTTTTAATTTTCCTGACAAAATATTTAAGTGTTTATTTCTTTAAGCCAATTAATTAGAGCTCTTTTATATAAACAATACATACACAACACATATAAATACAGACAGAAGATCCAGTAGTTGTAAGATTTTTTTCACTTGCCAATTCCTTAAAGTTTCTTAATTGGATTACTGGTTTCAGGGTGGAGCCCTTCAACAGACGGGGTCAGGAGAGCCTGTAGTTTTTAGGGGATAATAAGTAGGCACAGCTGGAAGGGAAAAAACAAATCCCTACAGTTAAGGGTCCCATGTTTATATTGTATCCCAGATCCTAAAAAAGAGGGAAATGCCATTACACACCAAGGCTAAAACTTCTCCCATAATGTAAAGAAATTGCTGATGCTCCCAAAAGTCACAGAAAAAAAAATGTTAGGTAACATAATGTCAAACCAACCAAAGCCTTAGATTTTGAGAGAAATTTATCTGCTTCCAACTTCCAGGGTTCCATGAGGAAAACAGAGGGTTTTTTTGTTTGTATTTTGTTTTTTCCATAATGGAAGTTGTTAGAAATTATCTTAGGTTTTCTTGTGTGGGCATCAAGGTTAGCAAGAGGGCAAAATGGAGAAATAATTCAGTTGACTGAGAAGAAAAACAAACAAATAAAAATTTTTTCTTAAAAACAACCAAGATCTGAGAAAAAAAAATAAAGCCCTTTAAAAAAATATAGAGAGAGAGTGCTTGGATATCTGTTTTTAATTAAGCTGATTTTAACCATAGAGCTCTTTTAATTTTTTTTTTAAATTTCTTATGATCAGACTCTAGTCAGGACAGACAATATTTCTGGCTTCTGAACTTTACTGCAGGTAACCTCTTATGTGAAATTAGTAAGTTTTTTTTGTTTGTTTGTTTGTTTTTTGAGACAGAGTCTCACTGTGTTGCCCAGGCTGGAGTGCAGTGGCGCGATCTCAGCTCACTGCAACCTCTGCCTCCCGGGCTCAAGCGATTCTCCTGCCTCAGCCTCCCAAGTAGCTGGGATTACAGGCACAAGCCACCACGCCCAGCTAATTTTTGTATTTTTAGTAGAGACGGGTTTTCACCATGTTGTTCAGGCTGGTCTTGAACTCCTGACCTTGTGACCCTGCCGCCTCAGCCTCCCAAAGTGCTGGGATTACAGGCGTGAGCCACTGCACCGGGCCAAAATTAGTAAATTTTAAATATTAGGTTATTACCTAACCAGGGACACATAAGGTCTCCCAAAGAGATAGTAAGCAGTTTCTTTTCTTTTCTTTTCTTTTTTTTTTTTTAAATAAGTTTGAGAATCTTCCCACAGGTAGTTCAGACAAAGGAAAATTCAAGACAGGAAATCAAAAGCTATCCATGGTGGGAAAATAATCAATAAATGGCAAAAAGTTACACAAATGAGAAACCAGAAAGGAGTCATTCTCTAAGCCAAGATTTGAATCTGAGCACTGTCAGTAGACAAAGCTTTGGCTACTGAGCTACAGAATTGAGTGGGTTTCATTGTTCACTCCAGAAGGAGTCTAGAGGAGTCCATTTCAAGCTTGCAAAGGCTTTTAACTGTTCAAGATGATTTTTAGGGCTAACTATGACATGAACCCAAAATTCCAGTCCTCTGGATGGCAGAGACTAAGGTATCCCCACATGGTCACAAGGTTAAGCTCTCAAGGACATAAAGAGAAACTTCATCTGGTTTTGGTTTCAGGGACCCTCAGTAAAGTTTGTAACTGACCAGCCTGCCAGGCTGGCTTGAAAAGCAGGCTTATAGGGGTTCTACGCTCACATTTTATCTTGTGATAACCCTCTCTCCATTACAGAACAATACAGAAAGGCAAATTCTTAGCACAAAGTATACCAGGTTTGTTATACTCCAAGACTAGTCCCACAGATCCTTTTTTTCTATTAATCAAATCTTTTCAGAGGAGACAAACAGTGATGTTTACCATTTGCACTCAAATACACACACATACACACGCAGAGAGAGAGAGAAGGTTACCAGAAACTTGGCTAGTAAAACATTCTTACCCTTTTTGCAAGCACACTAGGTTTCCAGGTTCCCTTTCTCTGCAGCTTCCAGAAGAACAAAGCGGCTTTTGATTACCTTGTTCCCTGTGTCTTAGCTCTGGGGATCGAGCCACTTAACCAAAAAAAAAAAAAAAAAATTCACCCTTTTCTGTTTTATGGAACCATAGGCAAAAGATTCTTAATTTTGGAAGATGCTGCCCAGCAGGCTATGGGGAATCAAATTAACATTTTCCATCCCAGTAAAAGACATGTAACAAAATACACTAACAAAATATACATAATAAATACATTAAAATAACTACACAAAGTACACAAAACAGGCAAAATACACATAACAAAACAGACACTATTCACCTCATTCGGCACCCAGTATCGACCTGGCAAGGCTCAAACTTTCTCCTCTTGGTCCTTGTCTGCAGTTCTCTCACAGGGAGGAGAGATAACCTTTGGCCAGGGACCCAGTGACGTCTTTAGGCAGCACAGAAGAACAGACAGCCTCCCTGAGTTAGGCCTGCTGGACGTCCATCAGCAATTCCTCTGCACGTATAAACACACATACGCACAGAGTAAGATGAACAGAAGACCTTCACGACACAGATTCTAGACCCAGTCTCAAACCAAGAGTATTCCTTCAAACAAGTATCCTATTCTCTGTCCAATTAGACACCCCATAATAGGGCTACAGACAGACACCCTGAGAGGCTACCAAGAGACAGCAGCACCTCCAGAGACGCCAATAAATCAGGAGAAGGAAGAGGCTGTTGGCAGCACCGAGGATACTCACCAAATCAGACACCCCACCATGCGGCTACAGACAGACACCCTGTGATAGGGCTACAGTTATGGGATGTTTCCCCAGAATTATTTTTCCATTACAGTTAAATCCATGTTCATTGGGTCAGCAGTGCTCCGCTGGTAGAGGCCGGTTCCAGAGTCAGCCCCCAGTTCAAGAGAACTAGGTACCTGCTTGGGCTGGCCTCTGGATCCATTGCCAGAGGGGGGCTACCAAACCATGGGCAGCCACGGGCAATCCCAAATGAGCCCCCAAAATTGTAACTGCCAAATGGGTTCACCTTGCCCACTGCCCAGAACCGATTTATCAAGACAGGAGAATTGTAATGGAGAAAGTCATTCACGCAGAGCCTGCTGTGCAGGAGACCAGAGTTTTATTGATATGCAAATCAGTCTCCCTGAGCATTCCAGGATCAGAGTTTTTAAAGACAATTTGGTGGGTAGGAGCTTAGGAAGTGGGGAGTGCTGACTGGTCAGGTTGCAGATGGAATCACGAGAGGTCGAAGTGAGGTTTCCTTACTGTCTTCTGTTCCTGGGTGCGATGGCAGAGCTGGTTCAGATTACAGGACTGGGTGATGTTAGTTGATCCATCCAGTGTAGGGTCCACAAAATATCTCAAGCAGTGACCTTAGGTTTTGCAATAATGATGTTATCCCCAAGAACAATTTGGGGAGGTTCAGGCTCTTGGAGCCAGAGGTTACATGACCCCTAAACCATAATTTCTAATATTGTAACTCATTTGTTAGTCCTGCAAAGACACACTGGTCCCCAGATAAAAGGTGGTCTTTTCAGGAAAGGGCCGTTATCTGTTTTGTTTCAGAGTCAAGCCATGAACTGAATTCCTTCCCAAAGTTAGTTCGGCCTATGCCCAAGAATGAACAGGGACAGCTTAACGGTTGCAAACAAGATGGAGTCAATTAGGTCTGATCTCTTTCACTGTCATAATTTCCTTAGTTATAATTTTCGCAAAGGCTCTTTCGAGGGTGTCAAAGGAGACCTACTGCCTGTTGCATCAGCCTCCTGTGTGGAACCTTGACTGGGGGCAGCAGAACCCCCCAGATAGGTGGATATCCCAGCATGGGGGAAATGAGTGCCCCATGTCCATGGGGACCTCCCAGGGTTCCCCAAGCCACCAGGACCTGAGTAGGGGTGCCTGGGTGGGGGCCAGGCAGTGGGGATTGGGGCAGGTTTGTAGAGTTCTGGTGGTCCTGGGAGGGCTCAGGGAGCAGCCAAATGCCTTCCCTGGTGACAGGAGTGAGCCCCTTCCTCTAATCAGAGGGACAAAGTCATACAGGCCAAGACATTAGCAGCCGTGTGTGAGAGCGGCTAGGATTTTTTCACGGCACCTCCCCAGGGGTCTGTGGGGAGGAACTTCCCAAAGGACCATGGGCATCAAAGGTGTGGCTTATCTAATTCAGATGGAGAAGCAAGGCTGAGGTTCCAGTTCAAAGAAGGATAGCCAGAAACGTGAAAGTCCTTGATATTTACAAAGGCTATTTCTTTCTTCTAGCCCTGATTCAAACTCCTTTCTGCCTATTATCAAAAGAAAGAACAAACTTGCATAATTTAAACATATTTAAAAATAGGTTCCCTTTTGACTAAGAGAGATTTAAAAAGAAAAATTAGTTCCTCTCTGCCTGGAACAGATATGAGGGAAATGTCAGTGGATGGAAATGGCAATGAGCTCCTCTGGAATTCTGGGAGATTGGACATGGACCCTGGAGCGATGCTGACATTTATTCATCATGGTTATCTGCATCATGGTTTTCTCATCCGTAAAGCAGGAAATGGGGACAGATGTTCCTCATGGCCCCTGCATGGTTCTGTGTGGGGAACTTTATTTGTGGGTGTGGAATTTTTTTTTTTTTTTGAGACAGGTTCTCACTGTCACCCAGGCTGGAGGTCAGTGGCATAATCATGCCTCACTGTAGCCTCGACCTCCTGGTTCAAGTGATCCTCCTGCCTCAGCCTCCTGTGTAGGTGGGACCACAGGTGTGCAACATCATGCCCGGCTAGTTTTTTATTTTTGTTTTTGTAGAGATGGGGGTGTCCCTATGCTGCCCAGGCTGGTCTCAAACTCTTGGGCTCAAGTGATCTTCCTGCCTTGGCCTCCCAAAGTACTGTGATGACAGGCTTGAGCTACGGCACCTGGCCCTGTGTGGGGAACTTTTTAATAAATATGCTCTAATACAGTCATTCTCCAGGTACATCACCTGGAAACTTAGAAAGGTAAATTCTCAGAATTCCCTCTGCCAACTTACAGAGTCAGAAACTCTGTGATTTAACAAACCCTCCAGGACATTCTAGTGTATTCTGAAGTTTTATAGCCACTGCTTTAATAGAAACGAAAAGTTTGAGTCACAGAATGTGTGGAATAGGGCCTCACCACTTTACTATTAGGCAGATAACAAAGAGTAAATAATACTTATTTCAAAAAAAATCACAGAACATTGGAAAGCATACATTAGACACATTAGCTTCAGTACCAGAATAAGTAAGTTTTCACAAACAATTTATAAATATGTAATATTTTCCATTTAAGTCAATAATAATTATTTTTAATTACATTTTATTTTGTAGAGACAGACTCTCACTATGTTGCTCAGGCTGGTGTCAAACTCCTGGGCTCAAGCGATGCTCCTGCCTTGGCCACCGAAAGTGCTGGGATTACAGGTGAGAGCCACTGTGTTTGACCAAACATTATTTTTTTAAAGAACCAGCAGCACGGTTAACCAGACACCCCTTTCTGATTAAATGTGCAATACACAAAACGCTTTCATAAATAGTCGTGTAATAATTTGCTTATAGAGCTCTATGCAAATTATTTTTCAAAGTTATGTCATTGAGTTTTTTAGGGGGATAACTCATGATAACCAAATGAATTTAGACTTAATTAAGTACATGGATTCTATAGTAGTCACAACGTTGTGAGAGTAAACGTTTTTTTTAAAGGCAAGTAGATAATTTGCAGTTGTGTACATATGTGCTCCCAGGCTAATTTTCTTTTCTTTCTTTTCTTTTTTTTGAGACAGAGTCTCACTCCGTCACTCAGGCTGAAGTGCAGTGGTGGGAGCTTGGCTCACTGCAACCCCCGCCTCCCAGGTTCAAGCAATTCTCTTGCCCCAGCCTCCCGAGTAGCTGGATTTACAGGCGCATGCCACCATGCCCGGCTAATTTTTTTGTACGTTTAGTAGACACGGGGTTTCGCTATGTTGGCCAGGCTGGTCTTGAACTCCTGATCTCAAGTGATCTGCCCACCTCAGCCTCCCAAAGTGCTGGGATTACAGGCGTGAGCCACTGCGCCTGGCCGGAAACAACTATATTTTAAAAGAAGTAGAAGATTCAAGTGGTACCAACAATGCTTACTTTTTCCAGAAAAATAGATGTGGGATTTGAGCTTTGGAAGGTGGCTCTGGTGTGTTGTAGGTGGTGGGCACCTCCAGCTCCTGCTGCTCTTGCAAACTCCAGTTTCCAGATGGGCCTCACTTCTGCTGCTCCCTGTGGGAAACTCCTCCAGTTTTATCGTCAGTCAGTTTCCTAATTTTTTTTTTTTTGTAGTCTTGCTGTGTCACCCAGGCTGGAGTGTAATGGTGCAATCTCGGGTCACTGCAACTTCAAGCGATTCTCCTGCCTCAGCCTCCTGAGTAGCTGGGATTACAGGCATGTGCCATTATGCCCAGCTAATTTTTGTACTTTTAGTAGAGACGCAGTTTCACCATGTTGGCCAGGCTGGCCTTGAACTCCTGACCTCAAGTGATGCATCCACCTTGGCCTCCCAAAGGGCTGAAATTACAGGTGTGAGCCACCTCGCACGGCCAGTTCCCTATTTTTATCAGTGCACTTTACCATTTATCTACTCAATTCCTCACCCATATGCAAGGCTGCCCTTTTCTGAAGGATGCTAGTGGTGAATCCATTGAAAAATCCACTGATTGTGTTCCCCTAGGGCCTCTTCAAGATGGAAAGATTCAGGTGGGGCACGGTGGCTCACACCTGTAATCTCAGCACTTTGGGAGGCCGAGGTGGGCGGATCACCTGAGGTCAGGAGTTCAAGACCAGCCTGGCCAACATGACAAAATCCGTCTCTACTAAAAATACAAAAATTAGCCGGGGTGGTGGCTTGTGCCTGTAATCCCAGCTACTCAGGAGGCTGAGGGAGGAGAATCGCTTGAACTCAGGAGGCAGAGGTTGCAGTGAGCCAAGATTGTGCCACTACACACCATCCTGGGTGACAGAGTGAGACTCTGTCTCAAAAAAAAAAAGCCAGGTGCAGTGGCTCACGCCTGTAATCCTAGCACTTTGGAGACCGAGGCAGGTGGATTGCCTGAGCTCAGGAGTTTGAGACCAGCCTGGCCAACATGGTGAAACCCCGTCTCTACTAAAATACAAAAAAATTAGCTGGGCGTGGCAGCATGTACCTGTAGTCCCAGCTACTCAGGAGGCTCAGGAAGGAGAATTGCTAGAACCTGGGAGGTGGAGGTTGCACTGAGCCAAGATTGCACCGCTGTACTCCAGCCTGGGTGACAGAGTGAGACTCTATCTGGAAAAAAAAAAAAAAAAAAAAAAAAGATTCTACAGTGAGCACAAAGGTGAAACTCACCTTGAATGCTTTTACCAATTGAGTGTGGATGAACTAATTCAGAGTATTGCGGGCCCCTGCTGCAGCAAACACAGAGCTCCCAAAATGCTCAGGCTATTGGGAGGCAACTGCCTTGTCAGGGTGGCCAATGGTTTCCCCATTGCCAAATCGGACAGTTAACTCCAGTCCTTGTCTGACTGGAGGCCTGCAGATCACTGCCTCCTCTGTAACGCTCTTTACCCCCAACCCAGGGATCCAAGATGCCCTACTCTAGGATCATTTTCTCTGCCTCATTCATCACTCAGACTCCTTCATTTGTTCCTTCTCTTCTCCCTCCTCTGAGTGCTGCAGAGCCCGGGTTTCCATCCTCAGACCCCTGCCCTGCCTGCTCTCTGTCCCAAGGCAGCACTGCCAGCATCCGAAATAAAAATCCAGCCCTCCTATTCATAGTGACATCGAATTTCAGATCAACGACAAAGAGTTTTATGGCATAAGCATGTCCCAAATATTGCATGGCCCCAAATATTTACTTAGTTAATAAGTAAAAATTGCACAAGACATACTTATGCTAAAGAGTATTGACTATTTGTCTGAGTCCAAATGTCTCTGGGCATGCTGGGTTTCATCAGGTAATCCTGCCATGATTTCAGTTTCAAGGTGATACCATCTATGGTGACTCTTCTGAAAATGTTTATCTCTAGCCTAGGTCTCTCTCCTGAACTGCAGACTCCTGCTGCCTCCAGCACATCGCCACTTGGGTAATGAATAGGTGTCTCAACCTGAACATGTCAAAAACAACACTCATTTTTCCCCCCAATTCCTTGCCGTTCTCACAGGTAGTCTCGTCCCCCCAGCTGCTCACCCACAAGCCTTGCACTCAGCCTTGACTCTGTTCTTCTCACACCCCATATCCAGTCTGCCAGGAGGTCCTTGGTCCTCCTGGGCTACACTAATAGTGCCTCTTGCTGGTCACTGCAACCACCTCCCATTCCTTTCCCTGCATTGTCCTGTGCCTCACATGGTTTTTTTCTCAACATGCCAGCCAGAATGACTCTTTGAAAACTTTCTCATGCCATGTCACTTTTCAGCCCATCGCCCTGCAGCAGGTCCCCATGTTACTCAGTGTAAAAGCCCAAGGTCCTTGCCCCATCCTGCAAAGCCCCTGTGACTCTGTGGTCTCTGGAACCTTAACTCTTCCACTCTTCCTCCAGACCACTCCCTCTCCCGCAGCCTCCTGGGTGCTCCCACCAGCCAGCATGCTCCTGCTGCGGAGCTGTGGCCCTGGCTCCTTCCTTCCTCCCGGAATGCTCTTGGCTCCGGTGTGCATCATGGAGATAGCTCCTGTCTGCCCCCAAATCGCTGCTCAAACCTCACCTCAGTGAGGCCGGCGCTGACCTCATCACTGACCTATTCACCTTCCAAACTGCTCACCTCCCAGGACTCTGATACTCCTTCCCAACTCTTTTTCATTCTTCCATAAATAACAATGTCTAACTTATTAGGCAATTTCTTCATTATAATTGTCCTTTGTTTTCAGTCTCTTCTCACTAGAAAGGAAAGTCCATAATGCCCAGAATCTTTGTTGGGTTCCCTGAAGAATGCCAGGCTCCCGGAAGAGGGCCTGCCTCCCAGCAGGCACATGTGTGTGGAATGAATGAATGAATGAATGAATGAGGCTTGTGCAAACTAACTGCTTGCAGGAAACACCTGCTCCTTCCTGGGCACTGGGTGAAATCTTTCGTAGAAGTTAACCATTGACTCTTCTCCCCACCAGCCTCCTCCGTCCCTCACAGTTAAATGCAGCTGGAAGAGGGGTTGCCCTGTACCTCCAGCTAGGTGGACTCCCCAGGAAAGAGTGACATCTCACCACTGAGCCACCTCAGCCTTTTCCAGAGACAAGCCTTCTCTAGGCCAATCATCAGTGTCACAGCTATTTGTTCTTGGGATTTGTGGCTCTATATTCACATGTAAGAAGCCAAGGCACCCATGGGGAGCCACAGGCACCAACAGAATACACTGAAATCAATCTTGCTGCGACTGGGGCTACAAGCATGGTTACTTGGCTCACCACAGGTATTTTCTTTCTTTTTAATTTATTTATTTATTTATTTATTTTGAGACAGGGTCTTGCTCTGTCCCCCAGGCTGGAATGCAGTGCTGCGATCTCGGCTCACTGCAACTTCCACCTCCCAGCTTCAAGCAATTCCCCTGCCTCAGTCTCCCAAGTAGCTGGAACTACTCCCGAGTAGCAGGTACACATGACCGTGCCCTGGTAATTTTTTTGTATTTTTAGTAGAGACAGGGTTTTCCCATGTTGGCCAGGCTGGTCTCGAACTCCTGACCTCAAGTGATCCGCCCACCTCAGACTCCCAAAGTGCTGAGATTACAGGCATGAGCCCCTATGCCTGACCATCACAGGTATTTTCTGAAGTTGTCAGTTTTAGTTCTGGAGGATCCTTGGAATGTCATGTTTTGGGGGATGAAATAAGAGAGGAAATTATCAAGATTGCTTGCTAAAGTGACTTGTGCATCTGGACAAAAAAGAAAATGCAAGGGAGACAAACCCCTGAATCTACTTAGTGAGAAGGTGGAGCAGGGAAGGGAACATGGTGCCCGAGGTAACAGGCTTTACAGTCTAACTTCCCCGGTGTTAGGTCCAGGTCTACTTACCATTGTAGGAATTCTCAGCCTCTCTGAGAACTTCTTAGGGTTAGGGCCTAACTGCCCTGGAGTTAGGTCCAGTTCTGCTTCTCCTTGAAGGAAGTTCTCAACCTCTCTGAGCCTCAGTTTCCTCTTCCATAAATCAGTGATGCTATATCAAAGCATAGCTTTGTGAAACACAAAAACAAATGAAATACGTATGCGATATACTTAGCATATGTTTCTATTTGTTCTTCCCGGAACAGGGTGAGTATACAATAAACTGCAGAGACTCTCATTCTTTGGGATTTAATTCTTTGGGATTTAAGCTGACTGCTGGGTTTTTGTGTTGTTTTTCAGCTTTATTGAGGCATAATTGACAAAAAAGAATTTGATATATGAATACATTGTAAAATGCTTACCACAACCAAGTTAGTTAATATATCCATCATCTCACATAATTCCTATTTTTGTGGTGAGAACGCTTAAGGTCTACTCTCAGCAAATTTCAAGTATAGAATGCATTATTAACTGTAGTCACCATGCTGTACGTCAGGTCTTCAGAACTTATTCATTTTTTAACTGAGTTTATGCATTTAGACAAACATCTTCCCATTTCCTAGATGCTGGGTTCTAAGAAAACAATGTAACAATTGTCCCAAGAAAGAAGGAAATTCAGGCCAGGTGTAGTGACTCATGCCTGTAATTCTAGCACTTTGGGAGGCAGAGGTGGGGGGATCGATTGAGCCCAGGGGTTTGAGAACAGCCTGGGCAAAATAGCAAGATCTTGTCTCTACAAAAAAATAAAAACAAAAAAACAAAAAAAACTAGAAGAATTAGCCAGGTATGGTTAGCTGGGCGTGGTGGCGTGTGCCTGTTGTCCCAACTACTCGGGAGGCTGAGGTGGGAGGATTGCTTGAACTCAGGAGTTTGAGACTGCAGTGAGCCTTCATCTCAAGTATCAAGTATCAAAGGCTTGATAAAATATACTTTTTACTGTTAAAAAGAATACTAAATTATATGACGTATTGTTATAATAAGGAAAGGCGTCCAAACAGATCCAGGTGAAAAAAAAAAACAGAATAATGGCAAAGGTTGTCTCAACAAATGCAAACTATTATAGTGTATGCCAGTCATATCACATAGGCCAGGCTTACCTGTGACAGTGTTCATGAAGCCCTTTTCAGAAACCAAAGCTAGAATCAATTTCATTCCTGGGTAACCTGAATAAAGAGAAATACATTTCAAAATTAGTATGGGACTGGGAGAGACTAAAATCTGTTGTTTTGGAGGGAGATCTAGAGTTTTCTCTTGGACAACAGATGGAGAAGTTGGAGTGAATAATTTTTCTTTTTAGCTTTTTTATTGAAATCACATGAATACAAAAAAGGGCACAGACCATAAGTGTACACATATCAATGAATTTCCCCAAAGTGCATACAGCATGTGATGACAACCCCAAACAAGAAGGAGAATATTACAGCACCTCCGAAGTCCCCTTCCTACCCCTCCCACTCCCCACCCCACCTGCATCTCCAAAGGTAACCACAGAGATTTGTAACATTATCTTGACACATAGACTCATCGTCCCCAGTTTTAAACTTCTCTTGGAATCATAGAGTGATAATTTTTGGTGTCTAGCTTCTTTGGGTCCAAATTATATTTGTGATATTTTTTCATGTTGTTGCATTTAGCTGAGTTTTATTCATTTTCATTGCTGAGTAGTGTCTTATAGCATAAGTATACCACAATTTATTTACTTGTTCTAGTTTTTATGAATATCAGTTTGTTTGCAGTTGTTTGCACTCTGTCGCCCAGGCTGGAGTGCAGTGGCACGATCTCAGCTTACCACAACCTCTGCTTCCTGGGTTCAAGCGATTCTCCTGCGTCAGCCTCCCGAGTAGCTGGGATTACAGGCATGCGCCACAATGCCCAGCTAATTTTATTTGTATTTTTAGTAGAGATGGGTTTTTGCCATGTTGGCCAGGCTGGTCTTGAACTCCTGACCTCAAGTGATCTGCCTGCTTTAGCCTCCCAAGTGCTGGGATGACAGGCATCAGCCATAGAGCCTGGCCCAGTGCTATTTATAATGGTGTGTGCTTAAATGTGGAAGTGCCAGGTCACAGGTATGCCTATCTTCAACTTTAGGAGAACCCATTGCATGACTTTCCCACACAAGTTGCATTCCTTTTCTTTGCTCCAGAAATGTGAACTCCAGTTGCTTCATATTCCTGCCACAGCTGGTGTATTTCATCTTCTGTATTTGAATCATTCTGATGGATGTGTTCAAGTGAGGTTGACCATCTTTTCTAAAGTTTGCTGGTGGCTGGGTGCTGTGGCTCGTGCCTGTCATCCCAGCTACTTGGGAGGCTGAGGCAGGAGAATTGCTTGAAGCTAGGAGGTGGAGGTTGCAGTGAGTCGAGATCACACCGCTGCACTCTAGCTTGGGTGACAGAGTGAGACTCCATCTCCAATAAATAAATAAATAAATAAGTAAAGAATAAGAATAGGTTTTACACAATAATAAATGTAAATGATAAGATAGATAAACACTTTGAAAGACCTTAAACTTCATATGTAAGGTACAAAAATTAAAATTGATGTTCATCAAAATTGTA